>NT_167246.2:2535342-2766386 GCF_000001405.40 Homo sapiens | reverse complement strand
GGCCAACCACAGATCTCCTATAGCAGAAGAATCATAGCAGTAAAAAGATACTGGCCCATTACCAGAGTCCTGTTTAGTCATTATCAATTCGCCCATTGCAGTCCAAAAATAGCAATGGTCTCAGCAACATATGGCTTCAACCTTTCAGACATCTGGTAAAAATGAGATAAAAGACAATATCATCATTCGTTTATACCTCTTTTGAGGAGATCATGTTATATTGGATTTTCCTCATTACATACCCCATTTATTCATTCATTTCACCTCAGCTACTATTCTTCCTCTTCTGCATTTATACCAAATATTTCTCATTTTGGAAGGGACATTAGGTTTTCCTGCTGTGCTGGCCTATGCAGGGAGCTATACCATGCTAGTAACAGCGAGTGTCTCCCATCAGTCCATTCCAGTTCATAGAGGTTAGGGTTATTCAGGCAGAGAACTGGTTGGCTATCTGGCTTCCAGGCAATACAGCTGCATTCAATGTTAGCTCCAACTTTGCCAGATGCAGTGAAGGCACATCTACTCCAGGCCCTTAGGCAGTCTTGCATAATGGTTTTTAAATATGTTAACGGTTTCTTGCTCAGGAATAATTCCTGTGCCTGGACTTTTATTTGCATCCCTAGTCCTGAGACCACTGCATCAGGTATGAGAAAAGCAAGTTGAGGTAAAGTATAGTCATAATTCTAGTGTCTTCTGGCCTTGGGAAGGATTGTTTTTATTTATTTATTTATTTATTTATTTATTTATTTATTTATTTATTATTTTTTAGGGAAGAATTGTATGTAGAATCACACCAGCACCTTTCCCTGATCCAGCAGGGAAAAAGAGGACACTCTCTAGTGGGGACATTCCTTTGTCCACACTCATGTCAAGAGCGAGCACACTCATGAAGGTGTATAGGCCCGCCCTTCATGCTTATGTCTCCCCGCTCCTGATTTATACACTCAATGTTTCAAATGACTATTTTAATTCTCTCTGAAACTCTTCTTCTGAGGAACAAATTTCTCTGACCATTGTTGGACATTCTGGGCAAGTGTGTTTCCTAGTGTAATGTGGCTCAGTGGTCCACATGGTGGCAATACCTCCCATTCACGTTTTTTTTTTTTTTTTTTTGGTCTCTGTCTCTGTCTCTTTTCTTGTTAAAGAGAATACTTCTTTTTTTTTCTTCTTTTGAGACACAGTCTTGCTCTGTTGCCCTGGGTGCAGTATAGTGGCGCCATCTCGGCTCACTGCAGCCTCTGCCTCCCAGGTTCAAGCCATTGTCCTGCCTCAGTTTCCTGAGTAGCTGGAATTACAGGCGTGCACCACCATGCCTGGCTAATTGATGTAGTTTTAGTTGAGACAGGGTTTCGCCATGTTGGCCAGGCTGGTCTCAAACTCCTGATCTCAAGTGATCTACCCACCTTGGCCTGCCAAAGTGCTGGGATTACAGGTGTGAGCCACTGTGCCCAGTCTTGTTAAAAAGAACAGTTTTACTGAGTATTTTGTGCTTATTAGAGGTGGGGGATGCAAGGGGAGTATGTCTTGATTCAGCCCATCTCTGCATTGCTACAGCCTCAGTGTCTACTTATTTCGTAGACCCCGGTGATCTTCACAAGCAAATGTAAATTTTTTTGAGATGTGGTCTTGATATGTTTCCCAGGCTAGACTCAAATATTTCTCAGGCTAAACCCAAATGCCTGTACTCAAGATATCCTTCTGCCTCAGACACTCTCATAGCTGGGACTACAGGTGCACCTGGCAAGCACTTAGAGATAAATGCTTGTTGATTTCAATCACCTTCCAAACCTGGAAGGGAGTTATTCTGATGGGTATTGAACAGCACTGAGGGGATGGTACTAAACCATTCATGAGAAACCACCCCATGATTGAGTCACCTCCCACCAGACCCCAACTCCAACACTGGGAATTACATCTCGACATGAGATTTGGGTGGGGACAACATCCAATCTATATCAGGCATCAACAAGTCTTACGTTAATGCACCCCTCAAATTACCATAGTGATTTCCACAGGACTGTGTCTCATATGGGCATTCTTTTCATAGGCCAGTTTTCCACTGCTTTCTTAATTAATTATATGGCCAGGCCATCAGTCACTGCCCATAAGTCAGTAAAACTAAAACATAGGAGCTTTTATCATTGTTCAATTCTTCCATCACTGCTAAGAAAACACCCTGCAATTCAGCCCACAAGAGCTGTTGTGTTTTTATCTTCTTTGATCAAAAGGGTAGACTTCCAAACAGGGTGTTGTCCATTCATCTTGCAAATGCTGTACACAAACCAACCAGCTCTTTATGGGTCAGCTGACTGATACTGCAGTTCAAATCCCAGGACAGAATTCCATCTTGCTTGGGGAAGGTCAGTGTTTCATTCAATTTACACCTTCAATGAATTGAATGAAGCCTGTCCACATTATAGAGGTCAATCTACTTTACTCAAAGTATAGCAATTTATATGTTAATCATATCCAAGAAACATCCTAAAAAAATCATCCAGAATAATGCTTGACCACGTATCTTGGCACCAGGTCCAGGTGACAAATAAAATTATTTATGACATTCTTCAATACAATAATATTCTAAGGAAATTAGCCTTTGTAAAGGAAGGAATAAACAACTGTTTCTGAAAATGTATAACCAATCATCAACAAACTCTCCCTATAGATTGTTTCCTAAGTTCGCTTTATAGTTGTGAGTGAGAGTAACATGTATTTGTTCAAAACCAGAGAAGGAGAGAAAATTGAAAAAGCAGAAAGCAAAAATGAAAAACACAAAACACAACACATAAGAAGAATAATAAAGATGACAGCAGTTATTTCATTGGAAACAATGCAAATGAGGGACAGATGAGCAACATCGCTAAAGTTCTGAAAGACAACTGCTGTCAAACTAGATTCTATTTCCAGAAAAAAAACCTTTTAAAAACATATATATATGTATAATTTTAATTGACATATAATAATACATTCATGAGGTACTGTGTGATGTACTGATATATGTATACCATGTGTAATGATTGCATCAAGCTACTTAACAGACTCTAAAGATATCTATAAAAAAAGGGATTTTAGACTTATAGGGAGTGAAAAAATACATAACCAGCAGACACGAACTGTAATAAATGTTTCAGTCCTTCAGGCAAAAAGAAAATTATACCAAAAGCAAATATGTAATGAAGAGCACCAGAAATGGTAAGCACATGGGTAGATACATAAGATTTTTTCATAATTTTAAAATCTTATTAAAAGACAACTGTAATGCCTTCACCAAAAATGGTAGAGAACTCCAACAACACATTCCCCAACTAAAGCAACTATTAACCTGGAAAAAAACTATCAAAATTAAGTTTTTCTGTACTCTGGAGTCTATGAATTTTTTTTTTTTTTTACAACAACCAAAGTAGTGCTTAATGAAAAAGGAGCTCTAGATTTTGGTAGGAGAGCATGTGCCACTATTCCTTAGCCACCTACTCACTCCCACCCCCACACCCTCAGCTATGAGGCAGCCATGGGGACGGTGTCCCACATTCCTGGTGTAGTTTCCTGATGCCAGAAAAGGCAAAATGAACTTTCTTTTCAAAGAATTGTGTTTGTGTCCTTTGACATGTATGATAGCCCCCAAAAAGATCAGCTTAGAGGCTGGTCTTTGCTTCACTCCTCTTGGAACTTTATTAAGATTGGAGAGGTCTCCATAGCAATGTTTGTCAAAAGCATTTAAAGGCAAATACTAGTCACAGATGCCTGGGGCATGGAATGATGGATGGGTTAACAGCAGACAGACTGAAAAGCCTAGGGAGGTAGAGGCTGGAGATGGAGATACATAAGGCAATATGGCTTTCAAAATATCCCGCATATACTGAGGAAATCAGAATGTCACATACATGGCCAGGGCTAAACACTGGATATTTAGCCCTGGATGCCCACACTCTTTAAAAAGACCTGAGATGACCTTAGGCTTTTACCTCTGGGTGATCTTTAGCCTCCAAGTAAGCAGCCAGTGAAGGTTAAGGTGGACGTCTAAACTGCCTGGTTAAGTGTTGAAGAAGTGTCCCAACTCAGAGTCCATCTGCAAAGCCTGGGAGGGCATTAATTATTTATTTTTTTGGCTCCAGCTGTTTAAGGAAACCTCTGTCAAATCACTAGCTGACCATGAAGCTAACAGAATAGATTTTAGTGACCACACATGACAAAGAACAGCTTAACAATAGTTTAGAAAAGTCACTAAGAAACAACTCCATCCTCAAGTGGCAACAAGAAACTCTGGGGAGTGGAAAGAATATGGTATCCAGAGTTACTAGATTGTTGTATTCAAAGTGTTCAGTTTTCAGCGAAAATTCTTGAGGTATTTAAAAGTTTAAGAAAGTGGCCCATTTGCAGAAAAAAATACATCAGCAGAACCTGTCCCTAAGGAAGCCAAGTCATTGGACTTACTAGACCAAGACTTTAAACCAATAGTTTAAATATGCTCAAATAGATAAAAAAGACCGTGGACTCTCTCTCTATATATGTAAATATATATATATATGTATATATATACACATATATGTGTGTGTGTGTATATATATATATGTATATATGTAAAGGAACCAGAAGAACAATATCTCACCAAATAAAGACTCATTAAAAATATAATAAGGAAACAGCAATTCTAGAAGGGAAAATATAATTACTGAAAAAAATTCATTAGAGATGTTCAATAGCAGACTTGAACAGGTAGAAGAAAGAATCAGCAAACTCGAAGCCAAGTCATCTTAAATCATAGACTTTGAGAAATAGAAATGAAAAAAGGAACAAAAAATAGTGAACAGAGCCTAAGGGACTTGTGGGACACCGCCATGCTGACTAATATATGCAGAGTTTAGCAGGCAGAAGAACCAGCAAATTGAAGATAGGCCAATTACGATTATGCAATCTGAAGAGCGGGAAGAAAAAAAAATAAAGGGAAATGATCAGAGGCTATGACACCTCTGTACAGCATCAAGTGGACTGACAGATGCATAATGGGAGTTCCCAAAGTAGAGGAGAGATAGAAAGAGAGAGTAAAAATATAGGGTAACAGGTGAAACCTTGCCAAAGTTGATAAAAATCTGTGAATCTACCAAGCAGAATAAACTCAAAGACATCCAAACCAAGAAACATTATAACCAAACTGTTGAAATAGAAGCAGAGAGAACTTGGACAGCAGCAAGAAACAAATAATGCATCATGTACAAGGGAACCTCATTGAGATTAACAGCCAATTTCATACCAGAAAACACTGAGGAATGTCAGAATGGTATGACATGTTTAAAGTGCTACAAAAATAAAGCTGTCAACCAAAAGTTCTATATCTAGAAAACTTATTCTTCAAAAATGAAAATATGCAGTTTTGCAATATGAAAGGAGTTCTGGAGATTGGTTTGCAAAACAGTGTGAATGTTCTTAGCACTACTGAACACTACTACTACAAATGGTTAAGATGGTAAATTTTATCTTATGTGCATTTTATCACAATTAATAAATTAAAATAAATGAAGGAGAAATTGAGATGTTTCCAGTTAATTAACAACTAACTGAAAGATTCCATTGCCAGTAGATTTTTCCTATAAGAAATACTAATGTGAGTCATTCAGATTAAAATGAAAGGGCACTAGACAACAGCTCAGAGACACATAAAGAGATATATGCAAAGAACCTCAGTAAAGGTGTTAAGACAACTCAATGTGTTAAAGTATACACTCTTCATCTAATGGAGCTGGGCACCTGGATGCCCACATTCTAAAGGATGAAGTTGAGGGGCTGGAAGTGGTGACTCCACCTGCAATCTCAGCATTTTGAGGGGCTGAGACAGGAGAATTGCTTGGGCCCAGGAGTTCAAGGTTACCATGAGCTCTGATTGCACCACTGCACTATAGCCTGGGTGACACAGACACTGTCTCTGCAAAAGAAAAAAAACAAAGAAGTTGAAACCCTACCTCACAGCATATGTATAAATCAACACAAAATGGATCAGAGACCTACATGTAAGGGCTAAATTATAAAACTCATAGAAGAAAATAGAGAGGGCTCTATTTTAATAATTTTTTCCTGTTTGTTTATCCCTGAACAAATACTTCACTTTTCTAATCACTGTGGCTTTCAAATATCTGTTGATATCTGATAGTTTAAGTCCTCCAATTGTGTTCTCTTCCAATATTGTTCTGGCTATTTTAAGCTCCTCACATTTTTGTATACATTTTAGAAGGAGCATGTCAATTCCCACAAAAAAAACTCTTGGGAGTTTTATTACAATTGCATTGACTCCATGGATCACTTTGTGGATAAACGGTATCTTAGCAATATTGTCTTCCTCATATATATGAAATAACTATCCACTTAATTTGTCTCAGCAATGTTTTGTAATTCTGAATGATGAGATTTTGTATAACTTTTATATTTATTTCTACAATTTATGTTTCTTTGTGGTATTGTACATAGAGCTATTTAAAGAATGTCAGTTCTTCTCACTGTTTATTACTCACGTATAGAAATGTTACTTTTTGCTTTATACTGGCCTTGCCAAATTCACTTATTTTTAATAGTCTGTTCATAGAGCTTCTTAAATTTTCTTCATACACGATAATGTTTTCCTTGAAGAAGACAGTCATATATCTTATGTAATCTATTTTTGCTGTTGGACACACAGTACAATGTTAAATAAAAGTGATGATAGTGGACATCCTTCTCTTGTCCCCACCTCAGAGGAGTGTTTAATATTTCTTCGTTAATTATGACTTTAGATTTAGGTATTTCTTTGTATTTCTTTGTTGTAAATAACTGTATTCTGTTAGGGAAGTTCCCTTTTATGTCTAGTTTATTTAGTTTTTATTATGAATGCCTACTGAACTTTATCAAATGGTTTTCCTGCATCTATTGATATAACCACATGTTGTCCTACTTTTCTCTATTCTTGGGGTAGATTATTCTGACATTTTGAAGTTAAATCTACCATGTATTTCTCTTATAAATCCCATTTGGTCATTATGTGTTATCCATTTCATATATTATTTGGTTCTATTTACTAATATTTTAATTGGAATTTTGGTGGCTATGTTCATCAGATCATTTCGATGATGAGTTTATTTTTCTTGTAATATAATTGTCATGTTTAGGTCCTTATCTGACTTATGTTGCCTCATAAAATTAGTTGGAAGGTGTTTACTCTTTATTATCTAAAAAATATAAGACAGTGTATTAATCTGTTATCATACTGCTAATAAAGACATACTCAAGACTGGGCAATTTAAAAGGAAAGAGGTTTAATTGACTCAGAGTTCAGCATGACTGGGGAGGCCTCAGGAAACTTATAATCATGGCAGAAGAGGAAGCAAACACATCCTTCCTCACATGGCAGCAACAAGGAGAAGTGCCAAACCGAAGCAGAAAAAGCCCCTTATAAAACCATGAAGTCTTGTGAGAACACACTATCATGAGAACAGCATGAGGGGAACCACCCCCTTGATTAAATTGTCTCCCATCGAGTCCCTCCAACAACGCGTGGGGATTATGATAACTACAATTCAAGATGAGATTTGGGTGGGCAAACAGCCAAACCATAGCACACAGTCTGCCTTTCATGTCTGTGAGTTCCACATCTGTGAATTCAACAACCTTAGGATTGAAAATGTTATGTTGCTGCTGATGTATACTCTGTAGTTAGGAGTACCTACAGTGGTTATGTCTGTACTGAAGATGTACAGACATTTTTCTTGTCATTATTTCCTAAGCAATACAGTGTAACAACTATTTACAAATCATTTACATTGCATTAGGAATTATAAGTAATCTAGAGATGATTTAAAGTATATGGGAGGATGTGCATAGCTAATAGGCAAATACTAGGCTATTTTATATATGGGACCTGAGCATCCATGGATTTTGGTATCCACAGGTGCCCTAGAACCCATCCCAAAAGGTACCAGAGGAAGACTGTATAAGGCTGACATGCCTTTTAAAAAGTTTTTGAAAGAATTGACAGGTGAAGAAATCTGGGCATGGAGTTTCTCTGGTGGGAAGGAATGTATTTAGAACTCAATTTCTTAATGGATATAGGATTATTTATATTTTCTACTTAGTTTTCTGTTGGCTCTGTTCAACCGTCTTTTTCAAGAACTCATGTCACTATACCTAAATTTTAAAAGCTCTTTCCATGAAGTTGTGTCTAACTTTCTCTTATTTTTGTTTTAATAAAATCTACAGTTTTATAATGTCCCTTCTCATAGTGTTCATTTGTGTTTTTTCTCTTCTTATGATTAATCTTTCTGGGAATTTTGAAATAGTTTGCCCATCTTTTCCTCTATTTTCCTTAACATATTAATCATAAATATTTTGAAGAATGTCCTTGTTTGCTGACTTCAATATTCAGATCATCTTTGAGTTGGCTTCTGTTGATTATTTCTTCTTTAGTTGCTGCATTCTCTCTGCTGCTTGGCATGGCACATATTCTACATGATGGATTTTAGAAGATCTGGGTTTTGTTATCTTCCTCCAAAGACTGGTAATAGTTTGACAGTTAGGTAATTATCAAAGAATCACCTTTAGTAAAAATCAGACCCACTTTGATTCTGCTTACTCTTGATTTTAGCCTTTGCTAGGGTGAGCCTATTTCAGTGTGGTTCTTACTCCAAGGTCACGGTCCTCACTTACGCGGCTTCCCCATCCTGATGTCTCAACGCAGGTTTTGCAGGGCTGAAATTCCAACATCTCCTCACACTATGGAGCCTGTGACATTTCTACTTAGCATGCAATCTCCAAGAAGCTGTTCTCCAGTGGGCTTCTTAGAGTGTCATCTGGAGCATATGCAGCTCAGGAGTGCAGATTTTGGGGGTTTCTTGTCTGTAACTCCCTCCCTCAGCACCCTACCCCTAAATCCCAGTCAATGTGCCAAGCCTGAACTCTGATCTCTGTTTCCTTTGCCGATGAGACTGATTTTCTCTGCTTGGGTTCCATTTCTCTTCATTGTATTTTGGCAAATGCTTCTGGAAAGAAAGCTGATAAGGATGTGAATCTCCCTTTCAGGAACTTCCATTCTCCAAAAGGTGATAGTCCTGTGCTGGTTGCTGTTTTGTGGCTGCACAACTGCATTGTATGTTTTTTGTGACTTTTATACTTGTTTACCGTGGGAGGATGAGTTTAAAATGAGCTATTCTCTGACGGTTTGAACCCGAAGACCTCTAAGCCTCCAATGGTCGTTTGCATTTCAAATTCTGCATGGGGTAATTTGACACCTCACAGGAAAAGTTAATATGTTTTTACCTTGGTGCCTAGTTGATACCTCAATTTCAGTGTTAATCTTACACACAAAATACAAACACACACACACACACCCCACTGTGTTATAGAGTCATGCATTGTATAATGATGTTTGGGTCAATGATGAATTGCATATATGACTGTCGTCCCATGAGAGTTGAATGGACCTGAAAAATTCCTATCACCTAGTGACATTGAAGCCATCATAACCTCATAGTACGATGCATTAATCATGTGTTTGTGGTGATGCTGCTGTCAACAAACCTACTGCACTGCCAGTCCTATAAAAAGTCTAGCATATACAGCTATGCACAGTACATAACACTTCATAATGATAATAAATGACTATGCTATGTTTTATGTATTTACTATACTTTTTATTGTTATTTTAGAGTGTGCTCCTTCTATATATATAAAAAAATTAAAACAGCCTCAGCCAGGTCCTTTAGGAGGTATTCCAGAAGAAGGCATTGTTATCATAGGAGATGGCAGCTCCATGCGTGTTATTACACCTGAAAATCTTCCAGTGGGACAAGATGTGAAGGCTGAAGATGGTTGATATTGTTGGTCTTGACCCTGTGTCAGCCTATGCTAATGTATGTCTTTATTTTTACCAAAAAAGATTAAAAGGTAAAGATAATTAAATAGGAATAAGCTTCTAGAATGGGAATATAAAGAAAAATATTTTTGTAGAGCTGTATAACGTGTTGACGTTTTAAGCTAAGTGCTATTACAAAAGAGTAGAAAAGTTTAAAAAGTTTATAAAGGACTTCATGTCTAAAACACCAAGCAATGGCAACAAAAGCCAAAATTGACAAATGGGATCTAATTAAACTAAAGAGCTTCTGCACAACAAAAGAAACTACCACCAGAGTGAACAGGCAACCTACAAAATGGGAGAAAATTTTCGCAACCTACTCATCTGACAAAGGGCTAATATCCAGAATCTACAATGAACTCAAACAAATTTACAAGAAAAAAACAAACAACCCCATAAAAAAGTGGGCGAAGGACATGAACAGACACTTCTCAAAAGAAGACATTTATGCAGCCAAAAAACACATGAGAAAATGCTCACCATCACTGGCCATCAGAGAAATGCAAATCAAAACCCAATGAGATACCATCTCACACCAGTTAGAATGGCAATCATTAAAAAGTCAGGAAACAACAGGTGCTGGAGAGGATGTGGAGAAATAGGAACACTTTTACACTGTTGGTGGGACTGTAAACTAGTTCAACCTTTGTGGAAGTCAGTGTGGCGATTCCTCAGGGGTCTAGAACTAGAAATACCATTTGACCCAGCCATCCCATTACTGGGTATATACCCAAAGGACTATAAATCATGCTGCTATAAAGACACATGCACACGTATGTTTATTGCGGCACTATTCACAATAGTAAAGACTTGGAACCAACCCAAATGTCCAACAATGATAGACTGGATTAAGAAAATGTGGCACATATACACCATGGAATACTATGCAACCATAAAAAAGGATGAGTTCATGTCCTTTGTAGGGACATGGATGAAATTGGAAATCATCATTCTCAGTAAACTATCGCAAGGACAAAACACCAAACACCGCATGTTCTCACTCATAAGTGGGAATTGAACAATGAGAACACATGGACACAGGAAGGGGAACATCACACTCTGGGGACTGTTGTGGGGTGGCAGGAAGGGGGAGGGATAGCATTAGGAGATATACCTAATGCTAAATGACGAGTTAATGGGTGCAGCACACCAGCATGGCACATGTATACATATGTAACTAACCTGCACAATGTGCACATGTACCCTAAAACTTAAAGTATAATAATAAAACAAAAAAGTTCAAAAGGTCACAGAAAGCTATGGTAACTAATTATTAATTAGTTATTAATTGTTAATAAATAAATAATAAAATTATTAGTTAATTATTAATAAGTTAATTTATTATTAAAGAAAGAAAATGTTAAAATCAATTTAGTGTAGCCTAAGTTTATAAAGTCTAAGTAGTGTACAGTAATGCCCTAGCCTTCACATTCACTCACCACTCACTCACTCACTCACCCAGGGCACTTCTAGTCCTGCAAGCTCCATTCATGGTAAGTGTCCTAGACAGATACGCCATTTTAAAGATCTTTTTATTAATCACATTTTTACTGTACCTTTTCTCTGTTTACACATGCTTAGATCCACAAATACTTACCATTGTGTTAGAATTGGCTGCAATGTTCCATACGGTAACATGCTATATAATTTGTAGCCTAGAAGCAATGGGCTTATCACGTAGCCTAGGTGTGAAGTAGGTTATACCATCTAGGTTCATGTAAGGACACTCTATGATGTCCACACATGACAAAATCACCTAAGGACTCATTTCTCAGAAGCTATCTCACCATTGAGCGAAGAATGACTGTATATGTATGTAAGTCCTTTGAAGTTTAAACATTTTCAATTTGATACATTTGTGTCTCATTTAAGAAATATTTTCCATTCCAGCAGATGTGAAAAAAAAAAAAAGGCTGGCACAGTGCCTCATGCCTGTAATCCCAGCACTTTGGGAGGCTGAGGTGGGTGGATCGTTTGAGCCTAGAAGTTTGAGACCAGCCTGGGTAACATGGCAAAACCCCATCTCTACTAAAAATATAAAAAGGAGCCAGGCATTGTCTCACATGCCTGTTGTCTCAGCTACTCAGGGGGCTGAGGCAAGAGGATCACCTGAATCTTGGGAGGTCAAGGCTGCAGTGAGCCATGATCGGGCCACTGTAATTTAGCCTGAGTGACAGAATGAGACCCTGGCTGGAAAAAAAAATAAAATAAAAAAGAAAGATTTTCCTACCCAAATAATTTAGGTTATCCTCCTAATAACTTTGGCAGTAATTTTACTTTTTCATATTTGTCTTTACTGCTCATATAATTTTTTGTTTATATCAAGGTATAGAGATATAATTTAATCATGGCATGTTTAGTAGACTATCGATGCTGGGAAAGGGCTTAGGAGATGATGATGAATCAAAACATGGGATAGAGGCTGGGTACGTGGCTCAGGCCTGTAATCCCAGCATTCTGGGGAGCCAGGGTGGGTGAATTGTTTGAACCCAGGAGTTTGAGACCAGCCTCGGCAACATAGTGATACCTCATCTCTACAACAAAATTTTTTAAAAAATTAGTTGGGCATGGTGGCATGTTCCTGTAGTTTCAGCTACTCATGAGGCTGAGGCTGGAGGATTGCTTCAGACAGGGAGGTCGAGGCTGCAGTGAGCAATGATTGTGCCACTGCACTGCAGCCTGTGACGTTTGTTTGTTTGAGACAGGGTCTCACTGTGTCTGAAAAAACCAAACAAACAAAAATTAAAAAAAAACCCACAGGATAGAAATCTCTATGGATAATAATACATGAATGAAAAGAAAGAATGACAGAGATCAAATTAATGAAGTCATTTCTGTGTGGAAGACTTCCTGATGATTTTGATGCTTTTTCCCCAAGGAATTTTTCTTTTTTTTCCAGGAAATATGTATGATATGAATTATGGTAAATGGCCCTTTCCTTTGACTTTTGAATCTCTGGTTTTCCTTCATCTCCGCTGACATCAGGACATTCCTGAGCATCACAAAGGTCCTGCAATCATAGCCATTTAGAACTTTGAAAAACGCAGTCACTCTCTTCCAAACCAGTATTTGTTAAAGCTGCAGAGAGAGTATTTTTTGGTTCTTGGGAGACAGAGAGGATGAAGGGGGTACTCATGCACAGAACATCTATTCCAACACTCCCATCCTCATCAGCCTTTAGTTCCTTCCTATACATTATACCAAAAAATTTCTCACATCTAATCCTGTTTAGTCAGGCCACGACTAAGTCAAATTTAAAAGCAACTCAACATTTAGATCCACTCTGAGTGTGGAAAATCTCACGTTGTTTTCCACTGCTCTCACACCACAACAACTATCAACACAGAAGACTTCTCTGACCAAATGTAGGGAATTTCTCCAACAAACAAGCAATCAGTTCTGTGATGGACACCAGCTGGGTGTCCTCTAACTGAATTCTGCCACTCTTTCCCTGGAGATAGCATCGCATCCCATGGGTTGAGAGCTCAGTCCCCATGACTGTCCCCCTCCCACTCCTGATGCCAGTCTCAAGCCTCCCACTCCTGATGCCAGTCTCAAGCCATTTTGCCCGTGTTTCTAACTAACTTGCTTTAAATCAGTGTTCCCATAACCTGTTTCTCAGGTTTGATTAATTTGCTAGAATGGCTCACAGAACTCAGGAAAACACTTACATATATTTACCAGTTTATTTAAAAAGATATTTTAAAAGACACAAAGAGCCCCATGAACAGACACATAGGGCAAGGTGAGAAGGGTTTCCAGTGCAGGAGCTTCTGTCCCATGGGGTTGGGATGCGCCACCCTCTCTGGCACATGGCTGAGTTCTTGTTCACCTCCTGTTAGCTTCCCTGTGTTCAGCTATCCAGAAGCTCTCCAAACCCTGCCCTTTTGGGTTTTGATGGAAGTCATATTTCTTAGGCATGATTCATTAAATCATTGGCCATCAGCTTAACCTTCAGCCTCTCTCCCCTCCCTGCCAATGAAATGATCCTATTTCTAGAAAAATCTGAAGACTCCATCAAAGAACTATTAGATATGATAAGTAAATTCAGTAGAGTTGTGGGATGCAAAATCAACATACAAAAATCAGTATAATGTCTATACATTATTAATGAAGTAGCTGAGAAAGAAATCAAAAAAGCAATTCCATTTACGATAACTAGAAAAAAATGCCTAGGAATAAGTTTATGCAAGGAAGTCAAAGATCTCTTAAAAATAAATCTATACAACACTGATGAAAGAAAGAAGAGGACACAAACAAATGGAAAGATATTCCATGCTCATGAATCAGAAGAATTAATATTAGTAAAATGACCATAGTTCCCAAAGCAATCTAAAGATTCAAGGGAATTCCAACAAAAATACCAAGGTTATTTTTCCACAGAATTAGAAAAAATAATTCTAATATTTCTATGGACCCAAAACATTTTTAAAAAGTCCAAATAGCCAAAGAAATCCTGAGCAAAAAGAACAAAGCTAGGGCCATCACACTACTTGACTTTAAAATACATTACAAGGCTATAGTATCCAAAACAGAATGGTATTGATATAAAAACAGACATGCCAATCAATGGAACATAATAGAGAATGCAGAAATAAATCCATATATTTACAGCCAACTGACTTTTAACAAAGGTGCCAAGAACACACATTTGGGAAAAGGACACCCTCTTCAGTAAAAGGGCTGGGAAAATGGATATCCCGTATGCAGAAGAATGAAATTAGATTCTTATCTCTCACCCTATTAAAAATCAACTCAAGTTGACTTAAATAAAATGAAAGACCTGAAACTATAAAACAACTGGAAGAAAACAGGGGAAACATTCTAGGCCAGTGGTCCGGGCAAAGGTTTTATGGCTAAGACTTCAAAAATATAGAAAACACAAATAAAACCAGACAAATAGGACTATAATAACTAAAAAAGCTTCTGCATAGCAAATAAAACAATTGACAGAGTGAAGAGACAATCTGCTGAACAGGAGAAAACATTTTCAAACAATTTATCTGACAAGGGACTAATATCCAGAATACTATAAGAAACTCAAACAACTCAAGAATTAAAAAACCAAACAATCTTATTAAAAAGTGGGCAAAGGGCATGAATAAATATTTTTCAGAAGAAGAATATAAATGGCCAACAGATACATAAAAAAATGTTCAACATCACTAATCATTAGGGAAATGCAAATCAAAACCACAATGAGATGTCATCTTACCCCAGATAGAATAGCCACAACTGAAAAGACAAAAATAAAATAAATAAAATAAAATAAAATAACAGATGCTGGTGATGTGGAGAAAAGGGAACTCTTGTACGCTGTTGATAGGAATTTAAATTAGTACAGCCACTATAGAAGACAGTATGGAGAGTTTTAAAAAATCTAAAAATAGAACCACTATATTATCCAGCAATTCGGGGGTGGGTTTGGAAAGTGCTGGAGTTCAGGGATCAGGGTTGGCAGAGAGCAGGGCCTGGGGGTGCTTGGGTAGCTGGAGGAGAATGAAGGAGGCAGATGCCTGGGTACCAGGGTATCAAAGTGAGGGAAGTGCGGGGCTGTCCCAAGAGGGCAGGAGACTAACAGAAGAATTCTTGAGACCTGTTGGGAATAGGGAAGGGTGGAACCCTCAGGATCCAGGGCAAGGGGTCAGAATCTTGGGCCAGGCTCATCGCTGAGCTCTTTGTAACCCACCACCATCTTCAGACTCCCAGCTAAGTTGTGCACGTATCCTCCAAGAGCATCTCCTTGGCTGCCAGCAGAGGGACCTGCTCTCTGCCTGTGACCCTGTGGCCACTGGGCCTGGCAAGGTAGCTCCTGCTGTCAAAGACAATGAAGAGGCAGCCATCCAGCAAGACGAGTGCTGTGACCCCAGGCTTCCCGGGGCTGGACTCTGCTAGGACAGTAAGGCCCGAGCACAGAAAGTGGGGCCCTCAACCTACCAGGGCTGGGCCCCTTAGCCCCTGTCCTTCACTCTCTTTTCTTCAGGATCCTAGGAACTCCCTCCTGCTTTACACACACCTACACACACACACACACACACACACACACACACACCCCTTCTAAAGAAACACTTCCCACTTTTCTCTCCTCCCTGACTCCTTTCACCCTCCTCCTTTTTCCTCCTCCTCTTCCTCCCCCCCCTTATAAAGAAAAAGGTTTAATTGACCTACAGTTCCAGTGTTTGGTATGATTCCTTCTTCTCTTATGATCCATTTCATCTCCCTTCTGCTCTCTGGAGCCTCCCTCCTTCCTGGACCGAGGCCCCAAGGTTGGAGCTCACAGACTGATTCCTGGGATGAGCAGCCTCCACCTGCAGGAGCAGTGGCAGGAACAAGGGAGGGGACAGGAGGCCAAGGTCCCATCCTGGAGGCTGGGGGACTGGGTCGTGCATTAGCAAGGGTTTGGGGTTGAGTCAGCTCCAGACCTGATCCTGCTGTTTTGGTCTGGAGGCCTCCCTCTGCCCTGAGACAAAAGTCCAGTCAATCAGTTGTGGGAGAAAACGTTCATATCAACATGGATTTTGGGAAGCTGGATGAACTCAGAGCCTGACACGAGACCGGGAGACTCTCTTCTGTGCAGAGTCCCGTCCAGGTGCGGGGAACAGGGGGAGAGCCTGGGACGTCCTGGCTGGGGAGAAAGGGGAGCGGGGTCCTCTGTCTTCAGTCCTGTGGCCACACGGGGGCGCCGCCACAGTGCTCTCGGATTCTGACTGAGCGCTTTCGGGGACCAGGCTGCGGGCTGAGTGGGGCAGACGGGGCTGATCCTGAGGTCATCCACGCCAGGATGGAGGCGTCTCCTGAGCAGCCCTGGAATCCACAGGACTCAGGCTAGATTTGCTTGTCCTGCAACGTGAGGCAATTGTGAAGTAACAAGGTCTGGCTCTAGAATTCTTATGGCGAATACGGCTGTCATAAAATCCAACCAGAATGAGAGTCCAGCGCCTGAGTTGACTGTCCTGGGCACACCCGGCTTTGACGGGGTTGCCAAAAACTTAACTTTGGCACTCACAGAAATTTCAATGATTGTGGAAAACTCCGAATAAGTGTGTACGATTTCATTTCTGATGTCTCTGGCGCTTTTGAAAGGCCAGAAAGAGCCATGCAAAGAGGCTGAAAGGCTCCTCTGGGAATTCTCAAATCCCTTTTCATAGCAGTAAATTGTACCTAGAGAGCCAAGACTGAAGGACATAGAGAGAAGGATCTGGAGACGGAGCCGTCTTTTCTGAGCAGCACGGACGGGGCTGTCAGGGCGCTTTTCCCCTCTGTGTTCAGCAGGATGGACTCTGCAGTGAGGCGCAGCCCCTGTCTCCCGGGAGCCTCAGGGCCACACATCCTCCCGATGCCCCATGTCAGGAGCATCTTTTTCCTTATCTTGTTTTTCACGACTCCTTTCCTTTTTCTGTCCTGTGGCTACTAATACAACAGACAGACAAGATCTTATAAGACCAGATAAAAGATGTCACTGATGATGGCTAAGACATGATTATGAAGGAACAGTGGAAGATACAGACAGAGCAAGAGAAAGAGACAAAACACAGAGAAAGAACAGAAATAGAAAAACACAGAAAAAGAATATCCATCCATCTATCCATGCTTCTGTCTACCTATCTACCTCCTTGCAAGGTAGGTACATCAACACTTTTTTTTTTTTGAGATGGAGTCTCGCTCTGTCACCCAGGCTGGAGTGCAGTGGCATGATCTCAGCTCACTGCAATCTCCGCCTCCTGGGTTCAAGCAATTCTCTGCCTCAGCTTCCCAAGTAGCTGGGATTACAGGCGTCTGCCACCATGCCCGGCTAATTTTTGTATTTTTAGTAGAGATGGGGTTTTACCATGTTGGTCAAGCTGGTCTCGTACTCCTGACCTCGTGATCCACCCACCTCGGCCTCCCAAAGTGCTGGGATTACAGGCATGAGCCACCGCGCCCAGCCACATCAACACTTTTAAATTCATGCTCCAATAAAATCACAAGCTTTTTTTTGCTGGCTCACACCTTCCTCCTTCATCCAGCTGACTGATGTATTTGCTGAAGTCTTGCCATGTTCTGCACTGGGTACTGAGCATTGGAGTCTAAACAGGAACAGATCCCTGTGATGCACTCACATGGGGCCCTTTACTGTCCCGTCCCTGGCTGTGAGACATCCTCATCTCCCTGAGGCTCTTCTTTCTGGTTACTGGGAGAAGTTCCCGGCCCGCCTCCCTACTGACACCTGAGAGACTCCAACATCCTGGAACATCACTATCTTCGAATCGAGCACTGATTTTCAGCATTTATCCTGTGTCCACCACTTGAGTACTAAATACCCTTTTGATGATTTTCTCATTTAGAAGCTGCTAGAGAAGGATGTGGTTGTAACTTCAGGCATGTTGTTTAAGAGAAATCTAAAAATTAGGAAAATTCATGGAAAGGGCCTTTTCTGCTTACTTTCAGAACACTTCTTGTTCATCTTCTCATTGAGTTTGATTGCTGGAAAAGTGGCTTCCATATCCCCTGACTTAATGAAAGTAGTGGAAACACCTGCTCAGTGAACAAGTACTTTGGAAAATGCCCTCAGAACTTCACACATCAGAAAAACATGTGTGTCTCCCTGCTCAACCCTGGAGTTGCCAATATGCTACATGTTAATTCCTCACTGACCTTACTCAAGCCCTCTGGAAGAGAATGGTGCTCCTAAAAATGTTCCAGTGGCATGGGACAGCAAATTCCTCTGTGCTCACTGCAAGAAAGCACACAATTCAACTTTTCAATCCCATTGAGTATCTGAAAATGAACTGTATTTTCAATGTATTCCCCTCCAGAGAGTACATTGCAGAGGAAACCTGTTCAAATCCACAAATGATTTTGAGTCAAGAAGCTAAATATGAGGTCCTTCAAGAAAAGTTAAGAGATTCCCTGACCTTAAATTTCATGTTGCACTTATAAGATGGACCTGTTAGCATCTGTCCCCACCTCTGGGTACCCGGCAGAATGTGCTGTCTTTTGGGACTCAGGGAGATAGTCACCCACACCAGGAGCACCAAATAAATCCCTAGGAGGGACTCCATGGTCCACCCAGGAGCCTCCTCAAGCAACTTCTTCCCCCAAATAACCTTGAAGTCCTAGAAATCAACTAAGAAAAAAGATATCCATGTCTTTGATTTAAAAAAAATAATGAAATGCCAACAGTCCAGCACCCAATAGGGAAGCTATGAGACTACATTTTCTGCATGTGGAGAAGACACATCTAATGGAGAAATGGGAAACTGCTTCAAAAGTGTTGGGCCACAGTGAGAGAATGTGGTTGTCACCACCACCACCCACTGCCCACTCACTCAGTAACCCCTCCCCATTTTAACAAACACACCAATGATGAGAAACACTTTGTACCTTCCTCTACTGTAATAAGCCTATTATCATGTCATCTCCTGTGGTTGATTTTTTCACTTAAGGATGACCTCTGGGCTTGTGATGGGAGAGGTTGCTGTGAAAGTCTCTGACATTCCCTGGAGATATTTTCCCCATTGTCATGGTGATTGACATTGAGCTCCCCCTTACTGATGCAAATTTCTGCAGTGGGCTTGAATTTCTCTCCAGAAAATGGGTTTTTATTTTCTATTGCATCATCAGGATGCGAATTTTTCAAACTTTTATGCTCTGCTTCCTCTTGAACACTTTGCTGCTTAGAAATTTCTTCTGGCAGATACACTAAATCATCTCTCTCAAGTTCAAAGTTCCACATATCTCTAGGGCAGGGGCAAAATGCTGCCAGTCTCATTGCTAAAGCGTAGCAAGAATCACCTTTATTCCAGCTCCCAACAAGTTTCTCATCTCCATCTGAGGCCACCTCAGCCTGGACTTCATTGTCCATATTACTATCAGCATTTTGGTCAAAACCATTCAACAAGTCTCTAGGAAGTTTCAAGCTTTCCCATATCTTCCTGTCTTCGGAGCCCTCTGAGTCTCTAGGAAGTTCCAAACTTTCCCACATGTTCATGTCTTCTTCTGAGCCCTCTAACCTGTCCCAACCTCTGCTTGTTACCCAGTTCCAAAGTCACTTCCACATTCCTGGGTATCTTTATAGTAGCACCCCACTCCTGGTACTAATTTACTGTATTAGTCCATTCTCACACTGCTATGAAGAAATACCTGAGGCTGGGTAATTTATAAACAACAGAGGTTTAATTGACTTACAGTTCCGCATTGCTGGGGAGGCCTTAGGAAACTTATAATCATGGCAGAAGGCACCTTGTCACATGGCAGCAGAAGAGAGAATTAGTGTAATCAGGGGAAATGTCAGATGCTTATAAAAGCATCAGATTTCATGAGAGTCACTCTATCATGAGAACAGCATGGGGGATCTGCCCCCATGATTCAATTAACTCCCACTACATTTCTCCCATGACACATGGGAATTATGGGAACTACAATTCAAGATGAGATTTGGGTGGGAACACAGCCAAACCATATCATTAATGCATTATGAAAGTCAAATTTATACATTCTAGATGCTTTGTGAGGCTGTCTAGAAAGCAGTTTGGAGACAATTCCTATAGGAAAAAATCAAATAATCTCTCCAAGATGATATTGCATTTAGAATTTCATGTTTGTCATTATTAAAATGGGGCCACCCAACTCAATTATCTAGAAAACTAAGTGTAGGTGAATTATGCTGGATACATTTAGCCATCACTCTTCAACAACACTATGAAATGGAAAAAACAAGGTATTAAGGCAACAACCTGCATGATGAATAAAATAGTACCTCACATCTCAATGCTAATGTTGAATGTCAATAATCTAAATGCTCCACTTAAAAGATACAGATTGGCAGAATGGGTAAAAATCCACCAATCGAGTATCTGCTGTCTTCAAGAGAATGCCTAACACATAAGGACTCACATAAACTGAAGGTAAAGGGGTGGAAATATTTCATGCAAATGGAAGCCAAAAGTGAGCAGGAGTAGCTATTGTTATATCAGACAAAACAGCCTTTAAAGCAACAACAGTTTAAAAAAAAAAAGACAAAGAGGAACACTATATAATGACAAAAGGATTAGTCTAACAGGAAAGTATCACAATCCTTAATATATATGCACCTAACACTAGGGGTTCCAAATTTATAAAACAATTATTACTGGATCTAATAAATGAGATAGGTGGCAACACAATAATAGTGGGGGACTTCAATACTTCACTGACAGCACTAGACAGGTCATCAAGAAAGTCAACAAAGACAAAATGGACTTAAACTATACCCTAGAACAAATGGACTTAACAGATATTTACAGAACATTCTACCCAACAACTGCAGAATATACATTTTTGTCATTATCACATGGAACATTCTCCAAGGTAGACCATATGATAGGTCACAAAGTAAGTCTCAATACATTTAAGAAAATCAAAATTATATCAAGTACTCTCTCAGACCACAGTGGACTGAAACTGGAAATTAACTCCAAAGGAACCCTCAAAACTGTGTGAATACATGGAAATTAAATAACTTGCTCTTCAATGATCTTTGAGTCAACATTAAAATCAAGATGGAAATTTAAAAATTCTTTGAACTGAATGATAATAGTGACACAACCTATTAAAACCCTGGAATACAGCAAAAGAAGTACTAAGACGAAAGTTCATAGCATTAACTGCCTACATGAAAATGTCTGAAAGAGCACAAAAAGACAATCTAAGGTCAAACCTCAAGGAACTAGAGAAACAAGAACAAACCAAACTCAAACCCAGCATAAGAAATAAAATAACAAAGATCTGAGCAGAACTAAATAAAATTGAAGCATGAAAAATGATAAATGAAACAAAAAGCTGGTTCTTTGAAAAGATAAGCAATTGATAGACCATTAGTGAAATTAACCAAGAGAAGAAAAGACCCAAACGAGCTGAAGTAGAAATGAAACAGGATATATTACAACTGATACCACAGAAATTCAAGGCTACCATGAATACCTTTACACACACAAACTAGAAAATCTAGAATAGATTGATATTGATAAATTCCTGGAAATATACAACCCTCCAGATTAAATCAGGAAAAAACAGAAACTGAACAGACCAATAACAAGTAGCAAGATTGAAAGAGCAATAAAAAAAAATTGCCAACCAAAAAAAGTCCAGGACCAGATGAATTCACAGCTGAATTCCATCAGACATTCAAAGAAGAATTGGTCTCAATCTTACTGAAACTATTTCAAAAGGTAAAGAGGGCATCCTCCCTAAATCATTCTATGAAGCCAAAAGCAGGAAAAGACATAACCAAAAAAGTAAACTACACACCAATATCCCTAATAAACATAGATGCAAAAATTCTCAACAAAATACTGGTTAATCCATCCAACAGCATATCAAAAAGATAATCCACCATGATCAAGTGGGTTTCATACCAGGGATGCAGGGATGGTTTAACATACGCAAGTCAATAAATGTGATACATCACATAAACAGAATGAAAAACAAAAATAATATTGTTATCTCGATAGATACATGTATTAGTCACGGTTCTCTAGAGGAACAGAACTAATAGCACATATACGTGTGTGTGTGTATATATATATATAAGAGTTTATTAAGTATTAATTTACACAATCACAAGTTCACACAATAGGCTGTCTGCAAGCTGAGGAGAAAGGAGAGCCAGTTCGAGTCTCAAAACTGAAGAACTTGGAATCTGATGTTCGAGGGCAGGAAGCATCCAGCATGGGAGAAAGATGTAGGCTGGGAGGCTAGGCCAGTCTCTCTCCTTTTCAAGTTTTTCTTCTTGCTTTATATTTGCTGGCAGCTGATTAGACTGTGCCCACCAGATTAAGAATGGATCTGCCTTCCCTGGTCCACTGTCTCAAATGTTAATCTCTTTTGGCAATACCCTCATAGACACACCCAGGATCAATACTTTGTATCATTCAATTTAATCAAGCTGACACTCAGTATTAACCATCACAAGTCCACCCCTTGTCAACTTGAACCCATACTCATCTCCTGAGATCATACATAATCTTCAAACAAAGACAATAATAAGGTCATAATTACACCAACATAATACAATGATCCTTCGTACAACCAGAAACGCACCAATCCCCAAGTACTATTACATAAAGTTAATAAAACTTAAATGCTGACATGAAGTCAATAAATCTTATGTCACATGATAAAGGAAAAGGAAATAAAATAAAGGTATTTTCTTAGTCCAAGTGTATACATGCACAAACATGACTTTTAGCAAAAGAAGGAGGAAATATTCATGACCATTGCAGTCCCTGTTTCTGCAGGTGGTCACGTGGGCATAGCTGGTATTGATGACTACCTTCTTCTACTACCCATTCTGTATTCCCTTTGCCTTCAGCAAGCACCTCAGCAGGTTGTGTTTTTTTTTCCTGGTGGAGTGACCCAAACCTACATTCCTGAGGGATCTGGGCCATTTGTAGTCCTGCCCGGATCGGGCTGTTGTAGTTTCCCATTGACCTTAATCACAGGGCATGGTAATACTAAGAGGCATCCTAATGGATCGCCTGTATTCCATGCATACTCTTCCTTACCTCTGTTGTGGAGTAGTAGACTGATTTCATCTTGATAGTCCAGGTCAATCACGCCAGCCAACACTGTAACTCCCTTCATAGCCTGTTGACTTAAATGTAGGAGGAGCCCAAAGTATCCAGGTGGCAATCTTAACTTCTAGTTTAATGAAATCGATGTTGTGTCTCCTGGTGGCAGCATTCCTCCCTCTGGAACTAAGACCTCTAGGCCAGCAGAACATAATGTTGTGGGAGCAGGAAGCAAAAATTTTGCTAGTGGGTCACTAGGGGTGATGGTGAGTGCTGCCACTTCCAATCCTTGATTCCTGTACTCGAGAATTCTGGCTATGGGAGAAACACTATCCTATATTGGATGCTGATTCAGAGCATACACAGTCTTCCGGAGAACTTTGCCCCAGCCCTGCAAAGTATCGTCACCTAGTTGGCATTGTTATTGTGACTTCAAAAGGTCATTACACCATTCTATCAATCCAGCTGCTTCAGGATGGAGAACATGGTAAGACCAGTGAATTCCATGAGCATGAGCCCACTGCTGCACTTCTTTAGCCATGAAGTGAGTGCCTTGGTTAGAGGCAATGCTGTGTGGAATACCATAAGGGTGGACAAGGTATTCTGTGACTCCATGATGGTAGTCTTGGCAGAAGCATTGCATGCAGGATAGGCAAACCCATATCCGGAGTAAGTGTCTATTCCAGTGAAGACAAACTTCTGCCCTTTCCATAATGGAAGAGGTCCAATAATCAACCTGTCACCAGGTAGCTGGCTGATCGCCCAAGGAATGGTGTCATATTGAGAGCTCAGTGTTGGTCTCTGCTGCTGGCAAATTGGGCACTCAGAAGTGGCCATAGCCAGGTCAGCCTTGGTGAGTGAAAGTCTATGTTGCTAAGCCTATGTATACCCTCCATCCCTACTGCCATAGCCACTTTGTTCATTGGCCCATTGGGCGATGACAGAAGTGGCTGGGAAAACAGACTGAGTGGTGTCCACAGAACGGGTCATCCTATTTGATTATTAAAATCCTCCTCTGCTTAGATCACCCATTGGTGGGCACTCACATGGGATACAAATATCTTTGTGGGTTTTGACCAGAGAGGTCCATCCACAAACCTCTTCCCCAAATTTCTTTGTCACCAATTTTCCAATCATGCTTCTTCCAAGTCCCTGACCCTCCAGCCAAACCATTGGCTACAGCCTATGAATCAGTATATAATCGCACATCTGGCTATTTCTCATTCCATGCAAACTGCACAACCAGGTGAACTGCTCACTAGGAAGATTTCCTTTCACTGCTGCCCTTCAGGGATGTCCTAGAAAGGGGCTGTAGTGCTGCAGCTGTCCACTTTTGGGTGGTGCCTCCATATCGTGCAGAACAATCTGTGAACAAGGCCCTATTCTTCTGTTCCTCTGTCAACTGATCATAGGGAACTCCTCATGAGGCCATCGGTGCAGGCTGAGGAAGAGAAAGCAGGGTGGCAGGAGTGGAGACCCTGGGCATCTGAGCCACTTCCTCATGTACCTTACTTGTGCCTTCGGGATCTGCTTGAGCCCGATCATGTACATGCCACTTCCATTTGATGATGGAATGCTGCTGTGCATGACCCACTTTATGGCTAGATTAGTCACAAAGCATCCAGTTCATGATAGGCAGTTCAGGTTGCATGGTGACTTGATGACCCATAGTCAAATGTTCAGTTTCTACCAAAGCCCAGTAACAGGCTAAGGCTAAGAGCTGTCTCTCAAAAGGAGAGTAGTTATCTGCAGAAGATGGCAGGGCCTTGCTCCAAAATCCTGGAGGCCTCTGCTGTGATTCAACTATGTGGGCCTGCCAAAGGCTCCAACAGCATCCCTATCTACCACTGACACCTCAAACATCATTGGGTTTGCTGGGTCATATAGCCCAAAGGGCAGAGCAGCTTGCACAGCAGCCTGGACATGTTGCAGAGCCTTCTCCTGTTCTGTACCCTACCCAAAACTGGCAGCCTTTCAGGTCACTTGATAAATGGGCCGGAGTAACATACCCAAATGAGGAATGTGTTGCCTCCAAAATCCAAATCGGCCCACTAGGCATTGTGCCTCTTTCTTGGTTGTAGGAGGAGCCAAATGCAGCAACTTATTCTTCACCTTAGAAGGAATATCTTGGCAGGTCCCACACCATTGGACCCCTAGAATTTTACTGAGGTAGAAGGTCCCTGAATTTTAGTCAGATTTATTTCCTATCCTCTGGCACGCAAATGTCTCATCAATAAGTCCAGTGTGTTTGCTACTTTTTGCTCACCGGATCCAATCAGCACAATGTCATTAAGGTAATGGACCAGTGTGATATCTTGCAGAAGCGGAAAGTGATCAAGGTTTCTTTGAATCAGATTATGACACAAAGCTGGATTGTTGATATACCCCTGAGGCAGGACAGTAAACGCATATTGCTGGCCTTGCCAGCTGAAGGCAAATTGCTTCTTGTGGGCCTTATGGACAGGAATGGAGAAAAAGGCATTTGCCAAGTCAATGGCTGCATACCAGGTACCAGGAGATGTGTTAATTTGCTCAAGCAATGAAACCACATCTGGTGCAGCAGCTGCAGTTGGAGTCGTCACCACTTGGTTAAGCTTACAATAATCCACTGTCATTCTCCAAGATCTGTCTGTCTTCTGCACAGGCCATTTGGGAGAGTTGAATGGGGATGTGATTTGAATCACCACCCCTGTGTCTTTTAAGTTCTTCATGGTGGCACTAATCTCCTCTGTACCTCCAGGGATGTGACATTGTTGATTTACTATTTTTCCAGGTAAAGGCAGCTCCGATGGCTTCCATTTGGCCTATCCCACCATAATATCCCTCACTCTACCAGTCAGCATGCCAGTGTGGGGGTTCTGCCAGCTGCTAACTATTCCTATGCCAATTATGCATTAATTGGGGAAATTGCATTGGGGAAATGATGCATTAATTGGGAAAATTAATTGGGAAAATGCATTAAGTGGGGAAATGACCACAGGATGAGTCTGGGGATTCATTGTACCCATTGTAAGTCAGACCTGAGCTAAAACTCCATTAATTACCTGAACTCCATAAGCTCCTACTTTAACTGGAGGGCCACAATGATGTTTTGGGTTCCCTGGAATCAATGTCAGCTCAGAGCCAGTGTCCTGTATTCCTGAAATATCTAATCATTTTCCTCTCCCCAGTGCACAGTTACCCTGGTAAAAGGCTGGAGGTCTCCTCACAGAAGGATGGAAGAAGATTCACTGCATAAATTGTCAGTAATGTAGTGGGGTCCTTCTTCAAGGAGACCCAGCTTCCTTTTCATTCAAGGGGTTCTGGGTCTGTAAACTGGCTCAAGTCTGGAAATTGACTGAGGGGCCATGATTCTTTGTTTTTATGATTAAAATTAGTCTTTTGTCCATTGCACATAGAAGTTTTCTGCTTGTATAAATTAAGTAGGAATGAAGTAGGCTTCCTATCAATTTCATTCCTAGGAACACCATGATTAATTAGCCAATGCCAGAGCTCTGCATGAGTTGGACTATTATGACTGCCACTTTGCCTCTGCTGTCCATTATGGTAGCTACACTCACCTTGCCTTTGATGGTTGAATGCTGCCACTTGGCCCCTGACACCTCGGGATCCAATTATTCCCATTGTATTTAAATTTTATAGTTGAGTACTGTGATTCCCACTGTTAGCTCTGACATGCAGAGAAGAGCAATTACAGGGCTCTTCAAAGATGCAGGTGCTGCCCTCACAAACCTATTTCACAAGGCACTGGTCAAGGGTAAATCTTCTAGACCTTCCCAGTTGGGATGAGTAGGTCTAAACTGACTAATCCATTCCACCATCCCAATCTCCCTAAGCTTTTTAATTCCTTCCTCTACATTAAACCAAGGGAGATCAGACATTTCCAGCTTGCTCACAGTGGGCCACCTTTTAATCCATATTTCAGCTAACCAAGAAAATAAACTATTACGACCTTCTTTAACTCCCCGAGCTGCAACATTAAAAGCAGAGTCCTTACTTAATGGCCCAAATCAATAAATTCAGCCTTATCCAACTCTATGTTCCTTTCACCATTATCCCATACCTGTAATATCCATTCCCATGCCTGTTCTCCACATTTCTATTGATATAAATTAGAAAACTGAAACAGCTCTTTTTGAGTGTAGTGCACCTCCTCATGGGTCACACTCTCAACCTCACCTCTAGGGGACCGCTGGGACTTTAGTCTAGTCATAGGTCTAGAAGCAAACAGAGGTGTTAGGGGTGGCTCCTGAGGAGAATCAACATTATCTTGCCTGGCAACTGCTTCAGGGCAGGCCATCACTGTTGCCTCAGGCAGTGCAGGGTTTGTCTTCTCAGATAAAGGTGGAAAGGCTGATGACAGCATGGGCTGGGGAGGGGATGTTGCCAATACTAGGGACGGGGAAGCTGATTCTTCTAGCAAAAAAAGTTTCATCATAATTTACACACTTAGTGTCCCCAGCTTCATTAGGATCCTCCCACATATCCCCATTCCAAGTTGCAGGGTCTCATTCTTTTCTGATCAATGCCCTCACTTTAACAGTAGACACTTGGTGAGGCTGTGTATGCATCTTTCATCGCAGGTCAGCTACTCACATGATAGGAGCTTTTGTCTGTTTTTCCACAATTTCAGCTCTTTCTCTACAGGAGATAAGACTGTCACTCATGGGGCAATCTTAGCAGATTTGAGGCTCAGTATCTGCTTCTGAAGCTGGGAGACAGAATCCCTGAGTTCATTATCTTCTTTTATCACTTTGTCCACTGAACTTAGGAGCAACCAACCAGCTTCATTATGTTCCTTGGTTCTCTACATATGGTCAAAATTATTAGGTTAGAGTCACTAAACTTGCCTCTCAGGAGCAGTGAATAGTGTGAAATGCATTTATTTTGCGTTACTCTCTAAACAGTTCATGCCAGGGACTATCAGCATTCTCCACACTATTAGAAGTAGAGTCCTTAGCATTTTTGGGTCTAATCATATTAAGCAACCAACTCCAGAAACCCCTAAACTAACAAAAGAACTCCATCCTTAATATTCTGTTCCTCTAGAACCACTCCTGTTACCAAAATCTGTATTAGTCAGGTTTTCTAGAGGGACAGAACTAATAGAATATATATATATAGAATATATATATATATATAGAATATATACATATAGAATATATATATAGAATATACATATAGAATATATATATAGAATATATATATAGAATATATATATATAGAATATATATATAGAATATGTATATAGAATATATATATATAGAATATGTATATAGAATATATATATATAGAATATGTATATAGAATATATATATAGAATATGTATATAGAATATATATATAGAATATGTATATAGAATATATATATAGAATATATATGTATATGGAAAATGTGTATAGAATATATATGTATATAGAATATATATATAGAATATATATGTATATAGAATATATATATAGAATATATATATAGAATATATATATACAGAATATATATATACAGAATATATATATAGAATATATATAGAATATATATATAGAATATATGTATATAGAATATATATAGAATATATACATATAGAATATATATAGTATATATATAGAATATATATAGTATATATATAGAATATATATATAGAATATATATAGAATATATATATAGAATATATATATAGAATATATATAGAATATATATATAGAATGTATATAGAATATATATATAAAATATATATATAGAATATATATATAGAATATATATATAGGATATATATATAGGATATACATATAGGATATACATATAGGATATACATATAGGATATACATATAGGATATACATATAGGATATATATATAGGATATACATATAGGATATACATATAGGATATACATATAGGATATACATATAGGATATACATATAGGATATATATATAGGATATATATATAGGATATATATATATAGGATATATATATAGGATATATAGATAGAATATATATAGAATATATAGATAGAATATATAGATAGAATATATAGATAGAATATATAGATAGAATATATAGATAGAATATATATATAGAATATATAGATAGAATATATATAATATATATAGAATATATAGATAGAATATATATAATATATATAGAATATATATAGAATATATAGAATATATATAGAATATATATAATATATATAGAATATATATAATATATATATAATATATATAGAATATATAGAATATATATAGAATATATATAGAATATATAGAATATATAGAATATATATAGAATATATATAGAATATATATAGAATATATATATAGAATATATATAGAATATATATATAGAATATATATAGAATATATATATAGAATATATATATAGAATATATATATAGAATATATATATAGAATATATATATAGAATATATATAGAATATATATATAGAATATATATAGAATATATATAGAATATATATATAGAATATATATATAGAATATATATAGAATATATATAGAATATATATAGAATATATATATAGAATATATATAGAATATATATATAGAATATATATAGAATATATATATATAGAATATATATAGAATATATATAGAATATATATATAGAATATATATAGAATATATATAGAATATATATATAGAATATATAGAACATATATAGAATAGATATATAGAATATATAGAATAGATATATAGAATATATATAGAATAGATATATAGAATATATATAGAATATATATATAGAATATATATATAGAATATATATATAGAATATATATATAGAATATATATATAGAATATATATATAGAATATATATATAGAATATATATATAGAATATATATATAGAATATATATATAGAATATATATATAGAATATATATATAGAATATATATATACACACACACACAAAATGTAAGTTAGTACGTTATATATATATTATTTTATATATAATATATATTATGTTAGTATTTAATATTAACAGAATAATATAATAATAGAATAATATATATTATAATATATATTATATATAAAACATATATAATATATAATATATATAAAACATATATAATATATAATATATATATATGCTTATTGAGTACTAACTTACACAATCACAGGGTCACATAATAGGCTGTCTGCAAGCTGAGGAGCAAGGAGAGCCAGCCTGAGTCCCAAAAGGGAAGAACTTGGAGTCCAATGTTCAAGGGCAGGAAGCATCCAGCATGGGAGAAAGATGTAGGCTGGGAGGCTAGGCCAGTGTCTCTCCTTTTCTTGTTTTTCTGTTTGCTTTATGTTAAATGGCAGCTGATTAGACTGTGCCCACCAGATTAAGGGTGGATCTGCCTTCCCCAGCCCACTGTCTCAAATGTTAATCTCTTTTGGCAACACCCTCATAGACACACCGAGGATCAATACTTTGTATCCTTCAATCCAAATCAAGTTGACACTTAGTATTAACCACGCACAAAAAACATTTGACAAACATTTTACAAAATCCAGCATTGCTTTATGATTAAAAGCTTCAACAAAGTTGGCATACAAGGAACATACCTGAAGGTAGTAAAAGCCATTTATGACAAACCTACAGGCAACATTATATTGAATGAGGGAAATTAGAAATCATTCCCCCGATAACTGAAACAAGGTAAGGATGTCCACTTTCACCACTTGTCTTCAACATTGTATTGAAAGTTCTAGCCAGAGCAATCAGACAAGAGAAAGAAATAAAGGGCATCCGAATTGGCAAAGAGAAAGTCAAACTGTTGCTGTTTGCTGATGATATGATTGTACAGCTAGAAAACCCTAAAGACTCATGTAGACCAATGAAACAGAATAGAGAACCCAGAAATAAAACCAAATACTTACAGTCAACTGATCTCTGACAAAGGAAATGAAAACATAAAGTGGGGAAATGACACCCTATTCAACAAATGTTGCTGGGATAATTGGCAACTCACATGTAGAAGAATGAAACTGGATCCTATGTCTCACCGTATACAAAAATTAACTCAAGATGGATCAAAGACTTAAATCTAAGACCTGAAACCATAAAAATTCTAGAAGATAACACTGAACAAAACCCTTCTAGACATTGGTTTAGGCAATGACTTCATGAGCAAGAACCCAAAAGCAAATGCAACAAAAACAAAAATAAATTCATGGGACCTAATTCAGCAAAAAAGCCTCCGCATAGCAAAAGAAATAATCAACAGAGTTAACAGACGACCCATAGAGAGGGAGAACATATACACAAACTATGCATTTGACAAAGGACTGATGTCCAGAATCTACAAGGAACTCAAACAAATCAGCAAGAGGAAAATGAATAATCCCATCAAAAAGAAGGCTAAGTACAGGAATAGAAAATTCTCAAAAGAGGATATACAAATGGCCAGCAAACATAAAAAAATGCTCAGCATCCCTAATTATCAGGGAAATGCCAGTGAAAACCACAATGCAATACCACCTTACTTCTGCAATAGTGGCCATAATTGAAAAATAAAAAAATAATAGGTGTTGGTGTGGATGTGGTAAAAAGGGAACACTTTTACACAGCTGGCAGGAATGTAAACTAGTACAATCACTATAGAAAACAGTATGGAGATTCCTTAGGGAACTAAAAGTAGATTTACAATTTTATCCAGCAATCCTACTACTGGGTATGTACCAGAGGAAAAGAAGTCATTATATGAAAAAGATACTTGCACACACATGTTTATAGCAGCACAATTCACAGTTGCAAAAATATGGAACCAGCCCAAATGTCCGTCAATCAATGAGTGGAAAATGAAAATGTGGTGTATATCGTGGAATACTGTGCAGCCATAAAAAGGATGAGTTTATGTCCTTTGTAGGGACATGGATGAAGCTGGAAACCATCATTCTGAGCAAACTATCACAAGGACAGAAAACTGAACGCCGCATATTCTCACTCATAGGTGGGAATTGAACAATGAGAACACCTGGACACGGGGTGGAGAACATCACACACTGGGGCCTGTCGTGGGGTTGGGGGAGGGAAGAGTGGGGAGGGAAAGCATTAGGAGAAATACCTAATGTAAATGAAGAGTTAATGGGTGCAGAACACCAACATGGCACATGTATACATATGTAACAAACCTGCACGTTGTGCACATGTACCCTAGAGCCTAAAGTATAATTAAAAAAAACAACAACAAAAAAACAAAAAAACCAACAATCTATTGATAGATACATCCAAGAATGTAAATGAATCCTTGAATCTTTAGGGAATCATGCTGAGTGAAAAAAAAAGCCAATATCAAAAGAACACATACTGCATGATTCCATTCATATCACTTTCTTGAAATGACAAGTTTAATAGAAGTAGAGAATATGTTAGTGGTTGCCAGCGGTTAGGCATGGAAGCGGGGAAAGGTCAGTGTGATTATAAAAGGGTAACATGAGGGCTCCTTGTGGTGGTAGAACTGTTCTGTGTCTTGACCATATCAATGTCAGTGTCCCTTGTGATATTATGCTGTAGTTTGTAACATGTCATTGAAGAATAATGGGTAAAGAATGTATGACATTTCTCTTTATTATTATTATTATTTTATTGGTAAGACACAGGGTCTTGCTGTGTTGCCCAGGTTGGTCTTGAGCTCCTGGTCTCAAGTGATCCTGCTCTCTCCACCTCCCAAAGTGCTGGGATTACAGGCGTGAGCCACCATGCCTGCCCTCTTTACTATTTCTTACAGTTACATGTGGATCTATGATTACCTCAAAATAAAAAGTGTAATTAAAAAAAAGAAAATGTGGTGTATATATATATATACCGTAGAATGCTACTCAGCCACAAAAAGAAGTGAAATAACGGCAATTGCAGCAGCCTGAATGACGTTGGAGGCCATTATTCTAAGAGAAGTAATTCAGGAATTGAAATCTAAATGTCATGTGTTCTCACTTATATGGGCATGCAAAGGCAAAAGAATGATATAATGAACGTTGGGGACTCAGAGGGTAGGGTCATAGGATGGTGCGGGAGAAAAGACTACACATTGGGTACATGTACACTCCTCAGATGATGGATGCACCAAAATCTCAGAAACCACCACAAAAGAACTTACCCATGTAACTAAAAACCACCCCCTCCCCGCAAATCAAGTTTATCTTTAAACTAGCAGGGTACATTCCTTGCTTGTCATGACCCATGGTCCTAGGATGTTGATAGCTAAGGAAGCAGTTTGGTAATACCTGCAAGGATAAACTCCTATGACAACAAAATGTCCAGATATCCCAATATCACAGAACAGTATGTGCTTTAAAACTGATTTTGTAACTGATAGAGGAGTTAAAAAGAAATTATTTAGGCAGATAGTGAGAGTAAAGAAGTCCTTGGTAAGGTTTTCCTTTTAATGAAAAGCAGCCCCCAAATCATTTTCTTTTCTAACAAAGAGCAGCCTGTAAAATTGAGCTGCAGACATAGACAAGCAAGCTGGAAGCTTGCCTGAGTGAATGCCAGCAGTTGTGCCAATAGGAAAAGGCTACCTGGGACTAGGCATGTTCAAATGGCGGCTCCATCTTCACTTTTCCTTTCCAACCACGTGTGCAGCAGGGAGCAGACAACATGGTGTCAGCCAAGTGGAAAGCCTATTTGCATAAGAAGATTAGGGTGGGGTGGTCAGCTTCCCCATGCACTATGTAAACATCACACCTGGTCCAACCAATCTGTGGGCCCTGTGCAAATCAGACACCTCTTTCAGCCTGTGTATAAAATCCAGTGCACTCTGCCATGGGCTGGAATTCCCACTTGCGTGCCCCTTCTCTCACAGGAGAGAGAGCTATTCTTCTTTCTCTTTCTTTTCTTTTGCCTATTAAACCTCTACTCCTAAACTCACTCCTTGTGTGTGTCTGTGTCCTTAATTTTCTTGGCATGAGGCAATGCATCTCAGGTATCACCCCAGACAAAGGTGCTGCTTTATTTTTGGTGCTCATTCAGGATCCCAAGGTACATTCATCAGAATGGTGAGTACAGGAGCAGACCTCCACTCTGTTTTTTTATTTTGAGGCTCTTGGCCTCCATTTTTAGAATCAAATCAAACCAAATACTGGGTCCCCTTCAGCCATTTAAAAATGATTAGTGTGGCTCCCAGCATTACAAGACGGGAGACAGGCTTCCTGGGGAGAACATGGAGAATCCCCCATTACCCATGGGTTGCTGGGCATATTGGCCGTGTTTGAACCAGTTTCCTTTCATGGAGGATCTAGCCATCACCTGGGGCTGGAAGAAGTCAGGGAGCAACTGAGGATTTCTGGATGGAGCTACCACGTGGCATTATGAAAGGCTTCTAGACTGACCCCAGCCTCCGAATGCCTGACTGGGTGTTGGCAACAGGATCTCTAACTTTCCTATCACGATTTCCTCCTTTCTTGTCCATGATTGCCATGTCTCCTATTCTTTCTCTGTATACAATGCTGCAGGAATTTTACAGTTCAGGGAAGTAATCCTGTTAGGCAAGATCAGGAAATGCTGTAGTAACCAGGGATATAGCTCAGGGGAATGTCATTGTGATTTTCTAGGAGCACATCCCCCCTACCCGCCACAGTGAGCATCTCTCTCTGCCCTTGGTCTGGAGTGCACATGGAGTTTCAAGGTCAACAGCACCAGCTAGCGGAATAGAAGTCCTATCCATGTGGCGCATTGTCAGTCCTTTGCCAAAAAACTCTAACTTACCAATTCTCCTCCCTTTTTGCATCCCTCTACTAGAAACTAGGTTTTATGCTGCTTCAGCTGTATGTGTTTGTATAGTGTGTATATGTGAGTGTATGTGTGTGTGTATGTATGAAGAGAGACAGAATGAAGAGACTAAGATTTTTGACTGAACCATTCTAAAGTAACTTGCTAGACCCATGATATTTCACCACTAAACACCTCATCGTGCATCTCCTAAGAGTAAAAACCTACATTATCACACCAAAGAAAATAAACAATAATTCCATATTATCTAAAGTCCTTTCATATTCAAGTATCTTCACTTCTTCAATCTATTCTTTGTACATTTTTTATAACTTGGTTCCATAAAATATCCACTCATTGCCTTTGATTATGTGTCCTTTAGTTACCTGTAATCTACAACAATCCACTAATCCTTTTTTCTTTTAGAACAGCATTACTTATTGCAGGCCAAATAACTTTAGCATGCTCTCCACACCGAATTTATCATATTATTTCCCCTGATGCCTTTTACTTTGCTCTTCTCTCTGCTGTGTTTCCTAAAGACCGAGGCAGATCTGGGTTAAACATTTGGCAACAATATTTCCAGGAGGGGCTGTCACCTGCACTTTCATTACATTGACAGGCACACGAGGCTCTTCAGGGCTCTTTCTGACACCATAATAGCCAAATTCATTCTGATTTCCCAGAGATGCATACACCAGGGCTGGGAATGCAGTGGGTACAAGTACGATTTTCTGGCAATAGGAGATCCTGCCACTCTCCCCATTCCTCATGTGCCTCATCAGGCCAGGTCCCTCCAGGCCTGAACTCCCTTTGCCTGTTTCCCAGCCCCACTCCGTTTTGTGTCTGTCTCCTCTTCCCTTCCCCTGTCCAAGCCCAGCTCCTGAGTGTCTCTACCTCTCAAACTAGTGTTCTCATCCAGGGGAGATTTTCCCACCAGAGGACAGGAGCTATGTCTGGAGAAATTTTTTGTTGCCATAACTGCAACAGTCCATGATCCTCTGCACTAGGCAGAGGGTAGAGATTGAGGGAGGCCCTCACTCCAAATCTTCTATCACTGCTAATGAAGTACTAAAAAGAGGTACAAAGCACTGTATCCCCTCTGGGGACCTGGCAGAAAAGCAGGGTCTCCACAACGTCAAATTCTATAGAAAAACATACCATTTTGGCAAAATACCCAAGTCACATTTCTAAGCCCCAGGCTGCAGCTCAAATACAAACAATATCAAAAACCCAAAACCTTAGTCAAGCTAAAATCATTGAAGCTGGCTGCAAGGGTTTGTGAGACCTGTAGTTAGAGGGAAGGACAACTTAATTTAGAACTGCAGCAGAAGAACGGCATCATGTGGTCCCCTGAATGAACCCTCTCCTTTCAGCAGGAAATTGTGAGGACATTTTTTTGGGGGAAAAAGTAGAATCTTGTTAAATTTCTGAGGTCTACACTTACTACTTATTTGTTGACTTTGTAGATGTCAACTTCACTTTGAACATCCTGCAATTCACTTTTTTACTGTAAGTGGAGAGAATCTGAACTTGTTTCTGAAGCAGGAAACCAGGGACTGGTTATGTGAGCTATCAACCCACCCTGTGGCTGGCTCCCTTATGCAGTAAGCATGACAGATTGTGGGCCAACAAAATTTGTAGCAAGGAAAACCGTAAACCCTCCATTTCAGTCTATGTTTCAGCTTGTCTAGTAATGATCTAGCCTTGCCTCACTCTTAACATTTTAAAGTTTATAATTCTACTTGATATTGATTTTATAAGAATTCATGTATTTTCATTTCTGTTGTGTTTGTCACTGGAAGCCTCCTCAAAACAACTGTGGAGTAAAGAAAAGTAAATAAATGCATGGTGTACTAGTGCTCAATGCATTTTGCAAATGTGTCAGCCTCACTTCCACAGATGGTGCTGCAACAAGTGGTGCTGAGAAACTGGATATCCGCATACAAAAGAATGATGTTGGACACAATTCATAGCCTTCCCTACACCATACTCAACAATTAACTCAGAATGTATCAAACAACGAAGCTTAAGAGTCAAACCTGTAAAACCCTTAGAAGAAAACATTGAGGAAAGTCTTGTGAACATTGGATTTGGTAGTAGTTTCTTGGCTGGATGACCCAAAGCATGAGCAATTAAAGAAAAATGATAAATTAGACTTTATCAGATTTAAAAACTTTTTTGCAACAAGTGACATTATTAAAAGAGTGGAAAGAAAATGCACAGAATGGGAGGAGCTATTTGCCAATCATATATCTGATGAAGAATTAATATTCAAAATACATAAAAAACTACAACTCATCCATTAAAAAAACAACGCCATTCAAAAATGGGTAATGGACATGAAGAGACATTCACGCCGCTGTCCATCACCCACACAACAGGTAGAGTAAACCTTTCAAACGGGAATTAGAGCACATCATCACCACCACATCCCAAAGCCACTCTAGCTTCTTCCCCTCTTAGTGCAATGAAACCCCAATGTCTCACCATTTCCTACAAGCCCCTCAACACAGGGCCCCTCTGTCAACTCTGGGCTCATCCCACTCCTCTCCGCCCAGCTCACTTGTCTCCACTCACACCAGCCTCTTGTCACTGCTCTGCCCTATTTCTGCCACCTACCCATGCTCTGACTCCCACATGTACCTGCTCCCCAGGGATTCACATGACTCACTCCTCACACGATTCAGGTCTCTTCTCAGATAACCAGTGGTCAAGTTCTCAGAAACGTCTTGCTCAATGACCTTGTCTAAACTATGTCCCTGCTATTCCCACCATCACCAATCTTCTGGCCTAGGCATATTTTTCTCAATGGCAATTAGTGGTAATACTAGGTTTTATTTGCTTACTGTCCATTGGTATATTAGGGTTCTCCAGAGAAACCCAACCAACTGGATAGATAGATAGATAGACCATAGAGAGAAGGAAAGCACCACAGTCACTGAAGTAAGGGCCCTCATGGAAGAGGTGTGACAGGAAAGGTCTGCTGTCCCAGGGCCACCATATATAGGAGTGACTCCCATCCTGGGCAGGACCTTTCTTTCTTTTGTATTCACAGTAGTTCTGAAATTGCAGGATGCTGAAACCCAGCACTGGCCAGTTATACTGTTTCTTTCTTTACCATTAAATGCTGTGCCAAAGAGCACCTTAATACATTTCTTTCCTCTTCCTGGAGAGAGGCAAAATGATAGTAGATATGTTGAAACACACAAATGTACTTTAAGCACGTGCTTTCAGGAAAAGCTACTAGAAGATTAGTTGCACCAAAATGAGGGGGGATACAAAAGTGAAAAGAAAGATTGCATATCCATATTCATAATGGTGTTATTCACAACAGGCAAGATATGGAAGCAACCTATATGTTTACCAACAGATGAATAGATCAAGAAAATATGATTATATACAGACAATGGAATATTATTCAACATTTAAAAGAAGAAAATCTTGCTATATGCTACAACGTATATGAACCTTAAAGTCATTGCTAAGTGAAATATGCCAATCAGAAAAAAAAAAAAAACTCCAAGTACTGCATAATTCCATTTACATGAGGTGTCTAAAACAGTCAAACTTGATGAATGTGAAGGTAGAATGGTGGCTGCCAGGTAAAACTTCCAGGTAATAAGGATTTTTGTGAAAGGGGCACAGAGTTTCAGCTTTCAAGGTGAAATATTCTAAAGATCGGTTGCACTACACTGTGCTTACAATTAACACTATTATAGTACAGTATATTTTAATTTAATTTTTTTTTTTTGGCTGGAGACAGGGTCTCACTACTTTCCCCAAGCCTGACTTGAACTGTAGGCCTCCAGTGATCCTCCTGCCTTAGCCTCCCAAATTGCTGGGATTACAGGCATGAGCCACCACACCTGGCCAATGGTACTGTATTCTTAAAAATAGTTATGATAGTAAATTTTATGTGTATTTTTTGCCACAATGAAAAAATGCTCAGCCCTCTTACTAATTTAGAAAGAAACTGCATCAGTTAATTAAAAATATATTAGGATGTGGCCTGTGGTCCTGACTACCTAGGAAGATGAGGTAGGAGGGTCACTTGAGCCTATGAGGTTGAGCCTGTAGTAAGCCATGATGGCACCACTGCACTCCAGCCTGGCTGACAGAGCAAAATTCCCTTTCTCTCTCTCTCTCTCTACACACACACACACACGAACCAGGAGAATCAGCATCTCATGAAACTAGACAGAAAGGCTCATATGCCTCAGCCTTGACATCTTGAATCAGTCTGCATTTTGGCTGGACCCCAGGTGGCTCCACTGCATGTAAAGCACTGCCCCAGATGGCGGTGGAGGGAGATCCTAGGACAGTGACTCTGCTCCACAGGGAGAAGCCTCCAGTCCAGATGGGAGCAGCGAGAAGGGCCCAGGAGGGACATTTCCAAGAAGGTAAAGTGGAATATCCAAAGTCTGTAATTTCTTAAAAGAGTACTACGGCTGGGTGCAGTGGGTTACCTCTGTAATCCCAGCACTTTGGGAAGCCGAGGCGGGTGAATCACCTGAGGTCAGGAGTTCGAGACCAGCCTGACCAATACGGAGAAACTGTCTCTACTAAAAATACAAAATTAGCCGGGTGTGGTGGTGCATGCCTGTAATCCCAGCTATTCGGGAGGCTGAGGCAGGAGAATCCCTTGAACCTGGGAGGTGGAGGTTGTGGTGAGCCAAGATTGTGCCATTGCATTCCAGCCTGGGCAACAAGAGCGAGACTCCATCTCAAAAAAAAAAAAAAAAGGCCAGGCGCGATGTCTCACGCCTGTAATCCCAGCACTTTCAGAGGCTGAGGTGGGTGGATCACGAGGTCAAGAGATCGACATCATTGTGGCCAACATGGTGAAACGCCGTCTCTACTAAAAATACAAAAATTAGCTGGGCATGGTGGTGAGTGCCTGTAATCCCAGCTACTCGGGAAGCTGAGGCAGGAGAATCGCTTGAACCTGGGAGGCGGAGGTTGTGGTGAGCCAAGATCGCACCACTGCACTCCAGCCTGGACAACAGAGTGAGACTCCATCCCAAAAAAAGGAGTAATACAAATAGAAGAAATATCAACGTTAATGAGTGCTATTTATAAAATAAACAAAAACAAAGGCAAGTATTAACTACAGGAAGAACAAATGTTCAGGAAGTGAAAAGTGGTCAAGCTGACATATGAGAAAATTAGTCATGGAAAAGGAAACAAGGAACGACTGAACCAAACATAATTACTACAGAAATACATCGGGAAGATGAAAGAATGGGAAGAGTGAAAGGGAACAGGTACAATTAACTATTGCATTCACCACTGTGCTGTGCAACAGATAATGACTGCAACGGAAAAATCAAGCAGTATTAATGAAGGAATTGTATTTAGACATATGGAAGTAAAAGTTGAAAGACTTAGCTAAAAATGTTGAAAATGGTTGCCTCTAGGAAGGCAGAAATTGAGAAGATGCAGAGAGGACTCATTTCTCTAGAGAAATCCTATGCAAATATTTGACTTTTAAAATCATGGACAATTAAATTTTGATTATAAAAACTTCAATGAATATGAAAATTTATACCTAATGAGAACAGAATTCAACAAGTGACACTTGCTAACTAAAATAAACAAGACTAATAAATACACAACATAAATGCATGAATGTGTAAATGACATCAACCTGAAAACATAAAAGAAAATGTCAACGAACACATCTCTGGATCAGTAAGTAGCACATGAGTGAATTCCCTACTCCAGCTCCCTTACTGGTTGCTTTGTGAACCAGGCAGTGGGAGGAAACAGGGCCCAGCCAGGGTCCCTCGTCCTTCTCTTGCTTCCAGGCAGGTCCTGCATCCACTCCTGCTGCAAGAAGGGCTCCCATCCCTGCCTTGGGTCTTTTTCACAGGTGTCACCCTTACACTCTCTGCCATGACCACCTTACGTGGGTGGGGCTGAGGTTGCCTTGACCAAGAAGTGCATCACCCATCTGTGTGCCCCAACACCAGCAGTCAGGAGGCATCAAGAAATAGGGTGAGGAATAACCCACCTCTTGCATGTCCACTTTCCTGGTTCATTTATTCTTCATTCATTCAGTCCACACCTCCCCAGCAGTCACTTTACGCCAGAACCTGACTGACTGGGATTCTTCAAAATCAGAAAACCTCCAAGCACTCTCTATCCCCTCCCGAATATCACACTTCAGCTCTGTGTCATCACATGAAGGCTCCAACTCTTCAGGGCAGATGTTCCCCCACAGGGTCAGCCCCTGAAGGTCAGTGCCAGATGTCCCACCTCCATCCCTTCCCAGTCCTTTCTGTTCTGCTGTGAATCTGTCAGTCATCAGGAGCTAGCAGGGAAAGGGGACAAGGAGGGGAGATTGTCTTCATGCCGTGCCAAGGCATTGAGACAGACCTCTCTTTCTCCCTGAACCTCACACTTTATCCGCTCCCAGACACATGAAATAAAACAGACTAGAAGTGTCTGTTTAAAGAGTAAACATCTATGGTATAAAATTACACACCCATAACAGTAGACATAGAGTAATGCGTAAGAGTGTGATGGGGCGAGGGGACCTCAAGGTGACAAGAAAGCTGGTCCTGGGCTGGTCAGGAGGAGTCATCTCCAAGACACTCACTCACAAAGCTCACTGATGATAATCCAATTACAACACACGTAATATATTAAAATATCTTAAAATATAATAAAATAGGCCAGACATGGTGGATGATATAATAAAATAAAATAAATTAAAATGTAATAAAATAGGCCGGGTATGGTGGCTCATGCTTGTAATCCCAGCACTTTGGGAGCCTGAGGCAGGCAGATCACCTGAGGTCAGGAGTTTGAGACCAGCCTGGCCAACATGGCAAAATCCTGTCTCTATGAAAAATGCAAAAATTAGCCGGGTATGGTGGTGCATGTCTGTAACCCCAGCTACTCGGGAGGCTGAGGCAAGAGAAGTGCTTGAACCCGGGAGGCGGAGGCTGCAACGAGCTGAGATCATGTCACTGAACTGCAGCCTGGGTGACAGAGTGAGACTCTGTCCTTTTTTTTTTTTTTTTTTGAGACAGAGTCTCGCTCTGTCGCCAGGCTGGAGTGCAGTGGTGTGATCTCAGCTCACTGCAACCTCCACCTCCCAGGTTCAAGTGATTTTCCTGCCTCAGCTCCTGAGTAGCTGGGACTACAGGCACACGCCACCAGGCCCAGCTAATTTTTTGTATTTTTAGTAGAGACAGGGTTTCACCATGTTGATCAGGATGGTCTCGATCTCTTGACCTTGTGATCCGCCCGCCTCGGCCTCCCAAAGTGTTGGGATTACAGGCGTGAGCCACCGTGCCTGGCCTGAGACTCTGTCTTAAAAAAAAAAAATAATAATACGAAAACAACAAAAACAATGACACCAATTAATATGGCACAGCTGCAAATGCCTCATATCTACTAACATTTTGCAGCCTCCAACAACAATAAATAAGTGCTTTTATTTTCTCTGTTTCATAGGTCAGGAAACTGAGGCACCAAGAGGGAAAGTGCTTGTGAGATCCAGGCAGGGAATTCAATTCCAGCCGCCTGGCTGTAGAGTCTAGGCGCCCTCAGTGGAGCCAGTGGACCCAAGAGCTGACATCAGAGGCTGAAATCCGAGCTGTGTGGCATCCCTGTGGTCACTCGTCCCAACTGGGTGTTGATCCAGGACCTGCAGGCTCACGAGCTCTGGAGAAAAGAGGGAAATGGGTAAATGCTCCACTGGGTGCAGTGTTGTGTTTATTCCCTGGGGACTTTTCTCTCTTCAGTTGCTCCAAAACCAGATTTGCCCTTTCTCTGAGGGAAGATGAGGCCCCCACTTTTTTCTTCCTCCCTCCTTGCTTTTCCCAGCCCCTGCCAGTTCCCTCCCATCACTCCATCAACATCAGCCCGTGCCCTGTGCCCACCACTCATCGTGCAGGGAGGGAAAGGGCCCCAAGACTAAAGGACAAGACCCAAGAGGGAACCCAGTGCCCTCCTCTCAGGCCTGACCAGTCCTGTTACAGTGAGAGGCCTCCCCAAAGAGAGGCCCTGACCCTTGCTCTCAGTCCCCAGGCCCTCCTCTCCTGCAGAGGCACCTACACACCAGGGCAGGCCCTGCCCACTGTGGGCTCTGCCCTCTATCTGCAGCTCAGTGCTCCTCCCCTCCCAGCCCTGAGCAGGCAGCTCCTAACTGGGGACCCCATCAGGAAGCCTGGGGGGCCCAGCAGGCCCAGCATGGAAAGACGTGGCTGCCACAGGATCTGCACCTGACCTGACCCTGGGACCCCCACCTTGCTCGAGGAGGCCTGGCCTCTCCTGACCCTCACAACCCAAGCCTGTGACCTGCTCTTGAGTAACCGCTACTCCTGCCTGGTCCGCTTAACCCTGGAAACGCAGCTCCACCCCAGGGCTGCTGCTTGGTGAGGCTGCGAGGCCTTCCTGCTCTGTCCCTAGCAGGGATTCCACCCGGCCACTGCCCTTGCAACCTACAAGGGATTTTCTCCATGTGGAGTAGGGGAGACCCCTTAGCCTGAGGCTGCCTCTGCCCACCCTCTGCACCTGGGAACTGCCACTGCCACAGCCACCATCTCCACACAGAACCTCCTGGAGAGGGGGCTCCAAATTTGAGTTCCTGTTTCATTTAATATGCTTTACAGTATTAGGAAATCCTATTAAGATTGCAGAGCTGAAATTATGAAAATCTTTATTGGACATCGCAGGAATTTTGAGAAATTTGTGTTCCTGTTTCATATAATATGCTTCACAATATTAGAGGAAATCCTATTAAGATTATAGAGCTGAAATTACGAATATCTTTACTGGACATCAACATTGAAAGCAGGAATTTTGAGAAACTGCCACATGAACTTCATACTCTTTTCCTGGCCAAAACTCCAGTGACCTATGAGGAAACCATTCCTGCCCACAGGGAACCAGAACTGACAATCCCTCTACGGGAGACGCCACAGGTGAGAGTAGGAGTGACCACAGACCTGCACTGCCTCTGTTGTGGGTGCCTCCTGGACAGGGCCCTCTTGCTGCAGGGCAGGGGACAAACCTTCCCATCTGCTCAGGCCTGAGGGGCCGACTGACAGTGCAATTAGGTTCAAGGATGAGAAACCAGCGACCCTACTGCCAGACACACCCTCCTGGACACCCCAGCCTCTTACTGTCGCCTGAACTGCTTCTGTCTTTGCAGAAACACAAAACTTCCTGCTGTCTCTTTTCATCCCCCATCAAACAACCTGACTGTAGGGGAAATGATTCTGACCGTCCCTTACTCCAAACTTACCAGGCAGTGACCACCTTTAGAAAGGGAAATTGGCTCAGGGAAGGCAAGGTGAGGCCACAGAGCACAGATTAAATCCCCAAAAACATGGGCCCTGAGGACTGTGTCCCTCAGGGACTGGAGAAGAAAACACTCGGAGGTAGGATGAAAACAGGGACCACAGCTGCCCTGATGAGGGGCTGGGCCCCACTCCTCAAATGGCCCAGGGACATCTGCTTATCTACTCATCCATGTCATCTGCAAGAAACTCAGGGAGGCCAGGCCGTGGGAACCTGGAAAGAGTAGGGCCTCGAATGGTGCAGAGGACACGACAACCCCAAGAAAGCTCCTGGAGGAGGTGCATGGGGAGCTGCACAGTGGACAGAGATGGCCATGTGTGCTCAGGACCCTCCCTGTTACTAGGGGTCTCCAAAGGGCTACACAGGCAGGGCCCCCAGGCTGGGCCTCATAGGTCTTTTTCTCGGTGTCCGCCCCGATGGCTGGAGAAACAGGGGAGGGGGATGCAGAGAGGAAGGGAATAGGGGCACCGCCTCTCCTCAGATTCCTCTCCAGTTTCTGGCCCTCCCCAGATCACAGCTGCCTTTACTATTTGCTCCCTCTGAGGCCGTGATCATCCAGGCCCTCAGCATTCAGCACGTGATTCCCAGCTCACCCCACCTGGATGCGCCCTAGTGAGTCCAAGAGACACAGAGACCGGGATGGGGACAGAGCAGGCGCCGCAGCCCTCCCTGCTGCCCACTCCTCACCTGCAGCAGGAAGATGCCACAGCTGGGCGTTTGACCCTCGCTTGGGCAGCACTTATGGGTGTAGATGGAGATGCTGCCCCCATTCCCTTCCCAAATTCCCCAACTTTCATCCCCTGTTACAGAAGCCTTGTCACCAACATGCCTATCTTTGCAGGAGCAATGAGGGGACCCTACTGCCCAGACAGGGGCCTTACCATCTCCAGAAACTGCCCGCTTTTCTCACCTGGACCCTCTGCAGCTGATGTTTTCTTCTTACAACAACGGACATAGAAAATAATAATAACAAAAATAGCAGCAGCAGCAGCAGCAACAGCAGAAACATGGAATGTCTGCCAATGACTCTGAAGCACCAGCACTTTCCCTGAAAAAAAGGGACTTGTTATACACTGGGCAGAGAGCCACAGCCATCCCTGCTGTCCCTACCCTGGCCTGACCCTCTCCAGGGTCACCCTAGGCTCACCAGAGGGCACAGGGTGAGTGCTGTGATTCCCGCTGTGTTCCATGTAGCAGGTGAACCTCTGCTCCTCTCCTTGGCAAATCCTGGTGGCCACCCAGGTCTGGTAGGTTCCATTCCCATCAGGCAGGACATCCCCCCACTGCTGGGTGTCGTGGCTCAAAGATACCCCATCCTGACGCCAGGTCAGTGTGATATTCCGGGGATAGAAGCTGGAAGCCCTGCATGTCACGGTGATGTTGCCCTCTGAGGCCTCGCTGCGGGTGACATTCACCATGGGGGGCACTGGAGAAGAAAGGGCAGAGCCAGTGAAGCCCTGCTCCCCTCTAAGGAGGGGAGAGGAACAGGGCTGTTTCTCTTCACTGTTCTCACTCTGGCTGAAGCCCTCCGGGACCCCTGACCTGCAAGTCTGTCCTCACTCTGGGGCCCAGTTCTTCCAGGCTGGCAGGAGGATGGGCCTTGGGACTGTGGCCTCAGGCTCTGGGATCCCCACATTGATGCTGAGGAGGGGGATGTCAGGGGTGGACTCCTGGGTTGTGGGGCCAGGAGGGAACTCTCCAGGATGGGCAGGCTGGGAGGCAGAGGGGGCAGCCCTGGCCCTGAAGGCTTCCTCTCCTGCCTGACACCCACCACAGGCTCAGGATTCTGTCGGAGGGTCCTCTACTTGCCCTGATTACAACACTGGATGGTCCAGTCCCTGACCCACTGTCTTTATCCAGTGGCTCTAACAATAGAGGAAAATCAGGACACGATGTGCCAACAGGAAATGCCTTCATCCATAGCACAGGGAGGGTTTCCCTGGACACATCTTGGAGGTGAGGCAACTCTAGCAGAATTGGAGGGAGAGGAGAGCCCCTGGCCAGCGTCCGTACCTCTTCTCCTCAGGACTACGCTGGATTCTAGATATCGCCGTAGTTCCTGCAGGCAGTCTGCATGCATAGCGTGATAGTGTGTCTTGGTCTTCATGGCATCTTCCTTCAAGAAATTCCTGACGTTCATGGCCAAGGTCTGAGCTCTGGAGGACTGGGGCACTGTCCATTCCTCAGTCTCCACGTTTTGGGAGAGGAAGAGCTCCCCATCGTAGTAGAAATGCTGGGAGCTCCTGGTGCTGTTGTCTTCATGGATCTCACAGACCCTAATCTCCTGGAGGGAATGCAAGCCTGCCCCCACCCAGCAGTGACTTCTCCATTCCCGAACCCATCACCTTTCCACCCAAGTGAGGAACTCAGCCCAGGGGGTACGCCTCCCTGGCCCTCCCCCATGCCTCCCTGTGTGGGCTGAGTGCCGGCTCACCTCCCTGCTGAGTTCCACTGACCCCCATTCCTCACCCCCAGCCTGAGCCAGATCCAGTGGGAAGAGACAGGTCCCTGCTCTCTGCCCCTAACTTTTCTGGAAAAGGCCTCTCCAGTCACTCTTGCCCCTGCCGACTCTCACCTTCTTTCTGGTCCTTGATATGAGCCAGGGTCATCCTGAGGTCCTTTCCGTTCCCTGTCAAGTCCCTGGTCTCTCTGTCCCATGTCTTATTTCCCAGGACATCTTCTGCCCACTGTCCCTGGGGCTTTGCCCTGCATTTCTGCCTGTCATAGCGCAGGAAGGGCTGACCATCCAGATGTACCTCAGCAAGAAACCCTGACTGCACAGATCCATCCCAGGACAGCACCGTGAGGTTATAACGAAGACTGTGGGGCTCTGGGGAAGAGGAAATCATAGGTGAAACTTCTTCCTGGAAGTAACTTCACATTGATGTTTAACACACAGGTCTGCTGTCCCAACCTTCCTGAGGCAGGAAATGCACACGGGCAAAGGGACAAGAACGAGGATTTCATATACAAAGAAAACTGTGAGGGTGGGAGGATAGAGGAGGGGGCTGATGAACAGAAGAAGGGGGAATGAAGATGGCAAACTTGTAGGCCAGGTGCAAGGACTGGGTGGCCACAAGCCCCCTAAGGGAATAGGGGCCAAGGGGAGAGGCTGCCCTGCAGGGGCAAGGGAGGAGCATGAAGGTGGTGGAAGGAAGGTCTTGCCAGAGGGGATGGTGGGAATGGGAAGGGACTCAGGCTCAGAGGGACCCATGTCCAGTGTGGCTGTGGTGCATAGGTGAGGGTGAGATGGAGGCAAGGGGAGCTGCCTCGAGAAGAGACTCATCATGGGCATGGCGGGGACAAGGGAGGGGGTGGTCATGAGGCACAAAGGGTAGGAAGGTTGTAGCCCCAGAGAAGTTTATAGTGGGGTCAGTATCCCAGAGGGGAGCAATGATGTGGGCTTGGGTTCAAAGTGGAAGAGTGGCATGACAAGGCCCCAGGACAGCAATTGGATGGAACAGCTAGTGTCCACTGGGGTGAGCAGGTGACAAAGAGTCAGTTGATCTTTTCAGCAAATAGTTCTGGGGGCAGGGGGTGTTAAAATAAAATTGGACCCTTAATTTGCACTATATACAAAAATTAACTCAAAATGAATCAAAGACCTAAACTCTACACTCAAGAACTAAAACCTAAAAATTTCTTAGAAGCAAACATTGGGGATAATGTTCATGACATAGGATTTGACAGTGCTTTCATGGATATGACACCAAAGCACAGATAGAATAGAAAGAACTGACAAAGTAGACTGATGAAAATTCAAAACATCTATGCATCAAAGGGCACAATCAGAGTGAAAAAGCAATCAACCCCGAAATGAAATAAATATTGCAAGTCATATATCTGATAAGAGAAGCTATGTGGGGGAAAAAATGGGCAAAAGACTTAAATGGCCAATTCTTCAAAGAAAATTACAAATGATCAACAAACACATGAAAAGATGCTCAATATCAGCACTCATTAGGAAAATGTAAATCCAAACCACAATGAGATGCCACCTGAAACCAATCAGGATGGCTGTTATCACACACCTACACACACACATACACACACACACAGAGCAAGGTTGGCAAAGAGACAGAGAAAATGAAGCCCCTGTGTACTGCTTCTATTTCTGGATATATACCCAAAAGAAATACCCAAAGGAAATAAATATATACCCAAAGGAAATGAAATATTTGCCAATATCCAAAAGGTAGAAGTAACCCAAGTGTCCGTTGTCTGAGGGATGGATAACCAAGATGTGGTACATACATATAATGAGTATTATCCATCCTTAAAAGGAATGAAATTCTGACCCATACTACAACTTGGATGAACCTCAAAAATATTATTATTATTATTGTTTTATTTTTTTTTTGGAGATGGAATTTCACTCTTGTTGCCCAGGCTGGAGTGCAGTGGCCTGATCTCAGCTCACTGCAACCTCCACTTCCCGGATTCAAGCGATTCTCCTGCCTCAGCCTCCCAAGTAGTTGGGATTACAGGCACCCGCCATCACGCCCGGCTAACTTTTATTATTTTTAGTAGAGATGGGGTTTCACCATGTTGGCCAGGCTGGTTTCGAACTCCGAAACTCAGGTGATCCACCTGCTTCAACCTCCCAAAGTGCTGGAAATCCAGGCGTGAGCCACTGTGCCCACCGAACCTCAAAAATATTATAAGTGAAATAAGCCAGAAACAAAAAGACAAACATTACATGATTCTGCTTAAATGAGGTACCTAGAGTGGTCAAATTCATAGAAACAAAAAGTAGAATGGTGGTTACCAGGGGCCAGAGGTAGGGAGGAATGGGGAGTTACCGATTAATGGGCACAGAGTTTTGGGTTGCACAAAAATGTGAATGTATCTAATGCCACCGAGTATACACTTAAAAGTGGTTAAAACAGTAAAATTTATGTAATGTATAATTTACCACAATTAAACTTTTAAAGAACGACATATGTCAGTCCTATTCAAACTGTTCTGAAAAATAGAGGAGGAGGGAATACTTCCAAACTCATTTTACAAAGCCAGGAATATCCTGATACAAAAACCAGGCAAAGACACATCATAAAAAAGAAAACTACAGGCCTATATCCCTGATGAACACCGATGCAAAAATCGTCAAGGAAATACTAGCAAACCACATTCAACAATACATTAAAAAAGATCATTCTTTATGAGCAAGTGGAATGTATTCCAGGTATGCAAGGATGATTTAACATACACAAATCAATCAATGTAATACGTCATATCAACAGAATAAAGGACAAAAGCCAGTATCATTCAATTGATACTGAAAAAGCATTTGATAAATTCAACATCCCTTCATGATAAAAACTCTCAAAAAACTAAGTATACAAGGAACAGACCTCAATATAATAAAAGCCATATATGACAAACTCACAGCTAGTAACATACTGAATGGGGGAAAACTGAAAGCCTTTTCTCTAAGATCTGGAATAAGACAAGGATGACTAATTTTACCACAGTTATGCAACACAGTACTGCAGATCCTAACTAGAGCAATCAGACAGGAGAAAGAAAGAAAGGGCATTAAAACTGGAAAAGAAGAAGTCAAATTATCCTTGTTTGCAGATCATGTGGTCTGATATTTGGAAAAACCTAAAGACTCCACCAAAAAACCATTAGAACTGAAGAACAAATTCAGTAAAGTTGCAGGATACAAAATCAACATGCAAAAATCAGTGCTAACAGCAAATAATCTGAAAAAGAAATCAAGAAACGAATCCCATTTACAATAGCTACAAATAAAATAAAATACTGAGGAATAAACCTAACTGAAGAAGTGAAAGACCTCTCCAATAAAACTATAAAACAGTGATGTGGCTGGGCGTGGTGGCTCATGCCTGTAATCCCAGCACTTTGGGAGGCCGAGGCAGGTGGATCACCTGAGGTCAGGAGTTCAAGACTAGCCTGGCCAACATAGAGAAACCCCATCTCTAATAAAAATAGAAAATTAGCCAGGCACAGTGGCACATGCCTGTAATCCCAGCTACTTGGGAGGCTGAGGCAGAAGAATTGCTTGAACCTGGGAGGCGGAGGTTGCGGTGAGCCAAGATCACACCCTTGCATTCTAGCCTGGGCAACAAGAGTGAAACTCCATCTCAAAAACCAAAAACAAAAAACACTGATGCAAAAAATTGAAGGACACAAAAAATGGAAAAGATAGTCCACGTTCATGGATTGGAAGAATCAGTTTTGTTGAAATATCCATACTACCCAAAGTAATCTACAGATTCAATGCAATCCCTATCAAAACACTAATGACATTCTTCACAGAAATAATAAAAATAATCCTAAAATGCATATGGAACCACAAAAAAACCAGAATAGATAAAGCTATCCTGAGCAAAATGAACAAAACTAGAGGAATCACATTATCTGACTTCAAATTATACTACAGAGCTACAGTAACCAAAACAGCATGATACTGGCATAAAAACAGACACACAGAGCAATGAAACAGAATAGAGAACCCAGAAACAATTCCATACATCTACAGTAAACTCATTTCCAACAAAGGTACCAAGAACACACATTGGCAAAGGAGAGTCTCTTCAAAAATGGTGCTGGGGAAACTAGATATCCTTATGCAGAAGAATGAAACTAGACCCTGTCTTTCACCATATACAAAAATCAAATCAAAGTGGATTAAAGATGTAAATCTATGACCTCAAACTATGAAACTATACAAGAAAACATTGGGGAAACTCTCTAGGATATTGGACTGGGCAAAGATTTTTAAAGTAATACCCCACAAGCACAGGTAACCAAAGTAAAATTGCATAAATGGGATCATATCAAGTAAAAAGGCTTCTGCACAGCAAAGGAAACAATAAACAAAATGAAGAGACCATCCAAGAATGGGAGAAAAGATTTTCAAACTATTCATCTGACAAAGGATCAGTAACTGAAACATATAAGGAGCTCGAACAACTATAGGAAAAAAAAATCTAATAATCCAATTTAAAAATGAGAAAAGATCTGAATAGTCATTTCTCAAAAGAAGACATATAAATGGCAAACAGGTATATGAAAAGGTGCTCAACATCATTCGTCAACAGATGAAGGCAAATCAAAACTCCTACGAGATAACATCCCACCCCAGATAAACTGGCTTTTATCCAGAAGACAGGCAATAAGGAATGCTGGCGAGGATGTAGAAATAAGGAATGCTGGTGAGGATGTACACTGTTGGTGGGAACGTAAACTAGTACAACCACTATGGGAAACAATGTGGAGGTTCTTCCAAAAACTAAAAATACAATAGAGCTGTCATATGCTCCAGCACTCCCACTGTTAGGCATATACTCCAAAGAAAGGAAATTGGTATATTAAAGAGCTATCTACTTTTCCATGTTTATTGCAGCACTATTCAAAGTAGCCAAGATCTGCAAGCAATCTAAGTGTCCATCAACAGACGCATGGATAAAGAAAATGTGGTGTACATGTGTATGTGGAGAACTATTCAGCCATCGTGTCATTTGCAAAGAACTGGAGGTCATCCTGTGAAGTGAAATAAGCCCCAGGCCCAGACAGACAAACTTTGCATGTTCTCACTTATTTGTGGCAGCCAAAATTTAAAACAATGGACCTCATGGGGAGAGACAATAGAATGATGATTACCAGAGGCTGAGAAGGGTAGTGGGGAGTGGGGGAGCAGGGATGGTTAATAATGGGTACAAAAATATAATTAGAATGAATAAGATCTAGTAGATAGCACAGCAGGGTGAGTACAGTCAACAATAATTTATTGTACATTTAAAAATAACTGAAAGAGCATAATGGGATTGTTTGTAGCACAAAGAAAGGATAAATGCTTGTTGTGATATAACCCATTTACCCTGATGTGATTATTACATATTGTAGGCCTGTGTGAAAATATCCCATGTACCCCATAAATATATACATATATATCTACTACGTACCCAAACAAAAGTTAAAAATTAAAAACAAAGCAAGGGGTGGGGGTGCTGGCCAGAGAGAGAAAACCAAGGTAGAGGGGGAGATTCTCAGCCTGAGGAAGGACCTGCCAAAAGGAGTAATGCTGGAGGGGGAGCAGTGGCACCCCAAGAGCAGGCAAAACAGATTTTAGATATGCGGTGTGGGGAGTGAGAGCCCACTGGGGTCAAGGAACCAAAAGAAAAGAAGGAAGGTCAAGGAACAGTTGGCCCAACAGCCTGTTTTAGGTCTGGGTTGGGGAGGGGAGATGGGCAGAGCAAGAACTGGAGGGCGGCATGAGCATGGGGCAGGAGTGACTGTGGGAGAACTTGGGGTAGGGTGAGGACAGGAGGGGAGGGTGCTCTGGGGGAGGGTGGGGCTTGGGAAAGATGCTCAGCACTGTCATATGCTCCAGCACTCCCACTTTCCCACTGAAAGATGAGAACGTGCTGAGGGCCCAAGGCAGCTGGGCAAGAGATAGGAGCAGCACAAGGTCCCAAGGTGGAGAGGGGCGGAGGGACCAGGGAGGGATAGTCCAGCACCTGTGGGCTGGAGGGTGGGGTCCTCAAGAGGGTGAGGCTGAGGATGAAGGAGTGGGGAAGGGGCCACAATGAGGCAGGGTCCAGAGCAGGCATCTGCACTGGAGGGGAGGGGGCATCTGCGCTGCCCTGCGCCCTGCCTAAGGCCCAACTGCCATTAGCATCAGGGTTCCCCTTGGGGGTCTGGAGGGGAGTGGGATGGAGGGAAGACCCCCCCGGATAAAAGGCAGCACCAGAAAGTTAGAGTCAGGGACATTTGGGAACGGGGAGGCATAGGGGCAGCACTGGGTGAAGGCTGCTTGTAGGAAAGGCCCATAAGGGGTGCAGGAGGGACCTTCGGTGGCGGGGACAGGGGATGAGGGCAGAGGACACCCTAGAAATGGATCAGAGAACAGCACACAGGAAGGGGTAGCAGGGAGCTGGGAGGGCAAAAGGACTCAGCGGGCCCTGAGATGGGCAGGGAGGAGGTGAGAGGGAATCTGGTGTCCTTAGATCACTGGTCATTAGTAGGGGTGGGATGAGAGAGAGGAGAGGACCCTCGGAGCCAGAGGCGAGGGGAGAATGAGCTGGGGATGAGAGAAGTCGCAGGAAGAATCCTCTGCCCGGAGCCTGCAGACTCCAACCCCTCAGCTTGAGAGTCAGGACCCCCCACAGTCCCCACAGCAGCAGGAAGCACCAGCTCCGGGTCCCGAGAAAGGAGGGCCCCTACTCCAGGAGCTGCGGCCCAGGAGCTGAGAACACGTCGGCTCCGGGAGAGGACAGGACTTCAGGGACCTGAGAGCCGCCCCGAGCACCGGGGGTTGTGGCTGCTTCAGTGGCCGCGCTGGAAGGGCACTCGAATGCCATTCACAGGAGCAGCCCCGGAGGCAGCCCGGGAACCCATGGGCCTCAGAAGGACTGGTTTGTCCGAAAAGTGAGAGGAAGCGGAGGAGACGCGAGGAGAGAAAGAGCAGGAGGAGACCAGAAAGTGCAGGTGATGCGCGATCCCGAGGAGGACTGAAAAGTGACGGGGAAGCAGGGCTGAAGTGTGGCGGTAACGGGCCGCGTCCAGCTCCCTGCGCCACCGACAGGGCACAGGAGCCCCGCCCTGACCGCACAGCGCTCGCCGCTACCCACCCGACCCCCGGAAACGTCCCGCTGCTCCCGCTCCGCCGAGGACCGCCAGGAACGCCACTCACCAGCAGCAGCTCCCGGAGGTGCAAAAGGGAAGATGCCAGCCAGAAGCAGGAAGACCGGGCCCAGCCCCATGGCCCCGACGTCGCCACCCTCTCAGCGGCTCAAGCAGTGGCCGGGGAGAAGGCGCCGCGGAAACTTAGTCACCTGGCCCGGTCCCCCGACCGCTCATCCAATGAAACTGGGGCCCGGAACTTAGGGCCAATCACGAGCGGAGAGGGCGGGGCCACGCTTGGAAGAGAAAATTCCAGTGGGCTGGAGACCTGGGGAGATTTAGAAGGCGGGACCTGGGGCCCAGAAAATGGGGAGCACGCGGGAGCGCAGCCTAAAGCAGGGACCAGCTTCGAGTAGCTGAGAGTACAGCTCCAACTTCATAAGCACGGCCAGGGCCCTGCCTGCCCTCCCGGCATCGCGACCACCCATCCCCGCGCCCCCACCCCGAGGAGCGCGGGCCTCACCAAGCCCCTTTCGCCGGCCGCCCCATTAAACCGGCTCTCACTGGCTTGTTCCTTCCAGGACAGACAACGCGTGGCTATTCTCCCAACACACTCCCTCAACCGCGCACAGCGTTACTGGCAATGAGACCAGTGACCAGATTTGCAGACCTGTTTCCAGATCTCAGCCACCTCTGCCTCTCAGAAGCACCTGCCGCAGTAGAACCGCTCAGACCACAAACTCTCTTAGACGTTTCAGCTTTATAATCTCCTTCTCCTCCCTTTGACTCAAAGCCAGGCCCCCCTTTCACCCCCTTATATCCTCTAAGTGTCTGAAGTCTCCCAGGGCCGCCTCTCTATTCAGTCCCTGGGTGATCACAGGGCCAAGGAGGCGGCTCCCTGTGGTTCACTACAACACCAAGCTCTCTCCAGACTCCCTTTTCCAGCCTGCCTTAGGACATCTGTACCTCCGACCATAGTCCCCTCCAATGTGAGAGATCTACAAAGACTCTCTATACGTCTGCCACCATATCATCCTCTCTTCCTCCTCAGTTTCTCTTAAGAACATCACCATCCTTGGTCCCTTCTGATTTCCTCTTTCCCCATCATCTCCGGGAGTCAAAGTCAGCTCCTTCAACGCTATTTCAATCCCACAGCCACAATCTTAGTCTAGGCTTTCCCCTCCCTTCAGCCTAGATTACTGCACAGCCTTCCTAAACACGGTGCCTGCCTCAGTTACAACCAGAGTGCTCCAAGCCACCCACAGCGCCCCATCTGCTGAATGTCACACATGATGGATGCTTCTACTCTACCGTGGAAAACCTCAGCTGCCACAATCTGCTGTCTGGCACCACCCCCATTTCTCTGGTGACATCTCCCCAGGGTTGCAGTAAACGTGGGCTCTGGGATCTCCTCACCCTATCCCACCAGGATGCCACTGCCTAAGCAGTCTCCCTCTTCCAGGCTATTGTAACCTCTGCCTTGGAACCCATCAGACCACACCATATCCTTAAAATCTTCCCAGGCTGGTCTGAGTGCAGTGTGTACAACTAATTGATCACAACCAGTTATAGATGTCTTTGTTTCTTCTTCACTCCCACTGTTTCACTTGACTAGCCTTTAAAATAAAAAGAAAAGAAAAAAGAAAAAAAGGAAAAAAAATCTTCCAGGGTAGACAGTGGTGACGGTGGCACAACCTTGTGATTACGCTAGAAGCCACTGAGCTGCACACTTTAAAAGGATAAATTGTGTGGCATATGAATTCTCAATTCTCAATAATAAGAATGCTGTCCCGAAAGCCTCTTTCTACTAAGAGAATTGCCTTGTCCCCAACGCACATCTCTTAGTCGTTGGGACATCTAGGCAGAGGTCATCAAACCTAGCCACTGCGTAGAACCACCTGGAGAGTTTTTAATATCCATGTTCCCAGGCCACAGCCACAACCTAGGTTGTTAAATCAGTAAACCCAGGTTGGACCTAAATCTTAGTATCTTTTAAAGTTCCCTAGGTGATTCCGATGTGTAGTCAAGTTTTAGAACTACTGATTTAGCCCGTGGTTTGAACCTTCCTGATAGTACTCATTGTGCCCTGCCATGAATTTTTTTTTTTTTTAAGAGAGGAGTCTTGCTGTGTCACTCAGTTGGAATGCAGTGGCATGATTATAGCTCACTGCAGCCTTGAATGCCTGGGCTCAAGCAATCCTCCCACCACAGCCTCTTGAGTAGCTGGGACTACAGGCGAGTGCCACCACACCCAGCTGTCATCTACCATCTTCTACCCTATGAACCCTCCAAGATCAGGAAATGTGTCCGTTTCTTCTTTGTCAGCCTCACAAACTTTTTTTTTAAGTTCAACTATCCCTGTCATTACTAACTATTCCCCCATGATCCCTAGCCTACACTTTTCTGTGGATGAAAATGTAATGTATTCGAGAATTTTAACAATTTCTTAGTTTTCCCATTCACATTCACTGATAATTTATTTTGATCCTCATAATTTATTGAGCACAGCAGGGACCGGGGTCCTTTCCCCACCTTAGAGAGATTATTTTCACTGCTAAAGATCATAAGCCTAGTGAGAGACTGAGAGGGAGATGGACCTAGCTCTCCTGACACAGGTCCCAAGCCCTTACCTCCACGGTGTCTACCCTCCCTCCAGGACTTCCTCCGTGTGCCAGCTCCAGCAAAGGATCTGATTCAGCTCGCCCCCAAAAAAGACTTTTAATAGTTCAATAACAATAATGAATATGCAAGGTTTGTTCTAAGGCATTTAGAAATGGTTTCAGGGAGTCATGAAGCCAGTCCTCTCTTGGGCTAGGGGAGGCCGAGATGGTCTTGAGCTCCAGGGGAGTTGTTTCTTAGTGCCCAGGCCTGGGCGCCCCTCCCCCACCAAGCCTCCCAGGTCTTCTGTCCAAAGCTCTCCCCCTCCACCCCACCTCCAACCCCGTCTGCTCTACCCCATTAACTACGTTTTCTCCCTCAGCACTTGCCTTATACCCCATGCACTCACCAGCACAGAGGCGACTTCCCTCTCTCAGACTTTAGGCGCCACTGCAGGGTCCGGAAAAGAAAGAGAAACGGCCCAGCGCGGTCGCTTACATAACCCAGGGCGGGGCTCCGCTCCGCCCCCGAAAGTTTTTGCGACGGAGTTTTCCCTCTTGTTGCCCAGGCTGAAGTGCAGTGGCGCGATCTCGGCTCACCGCAACCTCCGCCTCCAAGGTTTAAGCGATTCTCCTGCCTCAGCCTCCCGACTAGCTGGGATTACAGGCATTCACCACCAAGCCCGTCTAATTTTATATTTTTAGTAGAGACGGGATTTCCCCATGTTGGTCAGGTTGGTCTCGAGCTCCCGACCTCAGGTGATCGCCCGCCTCGACCTCCCAAAGTGCTGGGATTGCAGGCGTGAACCACCGTGCCCGGCCTTGCCCGCATGTGTTTTGAATTTTGCTGCCCGGAATTCACTGCGAGGACTGGGATCACCCGTCACCCCGCCCTGGTCTACGGAAAATGAAATGTGTTTACTGATATAGAAACGGAATAACGGCGCTGTGGGCTGGGGAGGGCCGAGCTGCCTTCAGGCTTCTGGTCTCCAGCTGCAGGGCACTCACACCTGCCCGTTATGAAAATGCAGACCCGCAGGGCAGGAATTCCGAGTCCGGGCTGGAGCGCGATCTGGAATCCGGCTCTCTTGAAACAGCACCGCGGAGGATTCTGATCCGGGTGAGTAGGAAACTGCGCCTCAGCCCCTCCCACGGGCCGCCCACGTATTCCAGGATCCGAAAACGCTTCCTGCTGCTCCGTCACCCCAGGAAGGCAGCGTCCGCCTCTGGGCGGTTCTGATGGGAACCGGCTGCGCCGCCCGCAGGAAAACCCACAACTAAGGGGCCAGGAAAAAGCCTCTTAGGGTCCCGCCACTTCAGTGAGGATCCTAATTTACACCCTTAGTTTGGCCTCCATGAAAGACTGGAGTGACCTTCACTGAAATGATACAAGGGGCCCAGGGAGCTGCGGCGCTCAGAATGCGGTGACAGCGCCGCCTCGCGTCCCTTCCCTGACCTGCTCCCGGCGGACGCGGAGAAGTTTGTTGGCCTGGAGGCTGGAATATACCGGGGATCAAATGCAGAGAATGGAGAAAAGAGGGAAGGATGGGGGGACGTGTTGAAGAAATGAGGGAAGAGATAGGAATAAAAGGGGAGAGAAAAAGTAAAGGAGAGTTTTTGTTTTTTTTTTTTTGAGACGGAGTCTTGCTCTGTCGCCCAGGCTGGAGTGCAGTGGCGCGATCTTGGCTCACTGCAAGCTCCGCCTCCCGGGTTCAGGGCATTCTGCTGCCTCAGCCTCTGGAGTAGCTGGGACTACAGGCTCCTGCCACCACGCCCGACTAATTTTTTGTATTTTTAGTAGAGACGGGGTTTCACTGTGTTAGCCAGGATGGTCTCGATCTCCTGACCTCGTGATCTGCCTGCCTCGGCCTCTCAAAGTGCTGGGATTACAGGCGTGAGCCACCGCACCCGGCCGGAGACAGAAAATTTAAAAGACGTAGTTTCATTATTTCTTTTATTTTTGCCCTTTATCTAGTTTTACTTATGAACATTTTTACCACAAATTTCTCTCTCTCTAAATCTGTAAATATGCTGCTATTATTGTTATTTCAGAGCCTGTGAGGGTAAGTTGCAGACAGCATGACCCTCTACCTCCAGATGAGTCAGGGTGTGTCTCCTGGGCACAAGAACAGGGTTTTTGTTTTGTTTTGTTTCACATAAGCAAAGTACAAGTCTCAAAGAGGATAATATTTTTAAATCATCTTATTGGGACATACTTTGCATGCAATAAACTGCATCTATTTAAAATGTTCAACTTGTTGAATTTTAGCTGTTGTACACACCCACATCTCCACTACCACAGTGAAGATAAAGAAGATTTCAATCGTCTCCCAAAGAACAGCTACACAATAAAATTCTATGTTGTCATTAAAAAGAGTAAGAGCAATTTTAAGTATTGCTATGAAAAGATGTGCCCAGCATACTTTTAACCTTTTTTAAAAGGTTAAGGAGGCTGGGCACAGTGGCTCATGCCTGTAATCCCAGAACTTTGGGAGGCTATGGCAGGCAGATAACCTGAGGTCAGAAGTTCAAGATCAGCCTGGCCAACATGGTGAAACCCTGTCTCTACTGAAAATGCAAAAATTAGCCGGGCGTGGTGGTGGGTGCCTGTAGTTCCAGCTGTTCGGGAGGCTGAGGCAGGAGAATCGCTTGAATCTGGGAGGTAGAGGTTAGAGTGAGCCGAGATCATGCCACTGCATTCCAGCCTGGGCGAAAATGCCACTAATATCACTTACATAATATTAATATATATTTGAAGTAGGGGAAAACCTGGAAGATTCCTCACCAAAGTTTTGACAGTGACTCCAGAGACTGGGATAACTTTGTGACTTTCATTTCCTCTTAAATGTTGTGCCAGGGTCTGACCGGCAGACCCAGGCTGCACGATGGATGAATAATGTACTCAGACACCGATATTCAGTGAAAGAGTGCACCAGAGGGCCAGGCCACTCACAGAAAGGGTTGTGGCAGCTGCGTGCCCTGACTATCTGGCCCTGTGGGCCTTTATTCAGCACAGATTTAATGACAAAGGCTTTGAGTCAACACACCTGTGGGTAATTAATCTGGTCGCAGTCCCCCGGAGAGAGCAGTCCTACAAATGATCAAAGGTAAACATGCTCTTTAGATAAACTCTCTTACATGTCTTTGTACTTACTCGAAGCTATTAACTCAAGGTAAGGGGATTAGGCTGCTTTCAGCTATAACCCTATCCTGAGGCTTTTGCAAAACTTTCCACCTTCCAAGAAGGTTTGTGTCTATTTCCTATAACTTTATCTTTATAATTATTCCCACCACCTGACCAATCCCCTACAATGTTGGAATTTTATCTTTTAGTGTAAACTTGGATTTGGGTGGATTGCAGTGGTTCATGACTATAATCCCAGCTCTTTGGGAATTGAAGGCAGGAGGATTGCTTAAGCCCAGGAGTTCCAGGCTGCAGTGAGCTATGATTGTGCCATTGCACTCCAGCCTGAGTGACAGGAGGAGACCCTGTCCCCAAAACAGAAAAATAAATAAAATTTTAAAATAATAAAAATTATAAACTTGGATTTATGTGGAGGTTAAGGAAGAGAATATTTCAGTTTGAAAATATGAAGCTAAGCCCCACAACGAAATAGTTACAGAGTTTTAAAAACGAAAATGTTCATTAAAACCCACCACCAGAAACTCTCTTTCAAGAGGATCCTTCATATTTTCATGGCATTGAATCTTTCTTAAAGTGCATTTGAAAGAGATGTTTTCAGTGGAATAGAGAGATGTGTAACAATATTTACAAAAGCGGTTGGCTGTAATAAAAAGGAAAACGCAAATGAGTGGGGACACAGGGGACCCTGTTCCATTTATTCTCAAAGCACGTTTGAAAACTGCGTTGCCATAGCGTCCTTGGGTAGAGGCAAAGTCGAGGCAGATCTTGTTCCTGGAGTATTGATTTGATTTTGGAAACGGTCCAAGGCTTTCAGAAATCAGGCTGACTTTCAGATCTAAAGTCTCAAGAATATTCGTTCTAGCAGTGAGCCTGTGAGAATCTAGCCCATCTGGGCGATGCACGCTCTGCTTCCACCTAGTGGCAGTGATTGGAAGGACAGGGCACAGTGTTACTGCATGGGTGGGTCTGAAGCCAAGGTGAAACCGCCTTTGCAAAATTATAACTAAGGAAATGATGACAGCGAAAGACATCAAACCTAACTGACCCCATCTTGCTTCCAACCGCTAAACTGCCCTTCTTCATTTCTAGGCGTAGGCTGAACTAGGCTTGGGAAGGAATTTAGTTTATAGTTTAAAGGGAAACTGTTCTTGTAAAACGAAGAAAGGCCACCGGCCATTAAGTTAGGATGAGAGGAGCTGGAATTCTGAATATTACCAGCCATTATTCCGGAGGTCATAAGATTTGCAACTTCTCCAGTTACTCTTGAAGGTAACATCACTATTGTGAACCTCAGAGTGGCCTTTTGAGATGTCTTTTCAGGTTTTTGTATTTTTAACAACTGGAGGGCCCCATCTGGACCTGCCAACCAGTCCTGTGGCCCCCACTCAGGAACTGACTCAGCCTAAGAGAACAGCCTCCACTCACTATGATTTCATACTGGAGCCAACCAGTCAGCACTCCCGATTCACTGGCCCCCCATCCACCAAATTATCCTTAAAAACTGATCAGAGTTTTCGGGGAGACTGATTTGAGTAATAAAACTCTGGTCTCCTGCACAACTGGCTCTGCATGAATTACTCTTTCTCTATTGCAATTCTCCTGTCTTGATAAATCGGCTTCGTCTAGGTAGCCGGCAAGATGAACCCACTTGGTGGTTACAAAGGGAGTCCAGGCCAGTGTGCATTACTGCAGTGGGGTCCAGGTAGCGGAGTAAAGGCAAGGACACTCAGGGAATAAATGGCAGAGGAAGAAGGAGCACAAGGGAGGACCCAAACCCTCCAGACCTCTCCTTCCTTCTCTCCCTGTTAGGGTTGGAGGGAACCAGCGTGGTCCCAGGAGGGGTGGCCGGTGGGGTGCAGAAAACGCCCTGGTTGCAAAGGGGCCTCACGTGCCCGACACAAGGGTCCTGGCTGTTAGCTGCTACTCATGAGTTCAAACTAGGAGGAGACTCACACGTGTCCTTTGCAAAGTAGACTCCTTATCTCCCACGCCGGCTCGGTCCCCATATCCATCCTGATAAAGCACAAAAACCAAGAGCCAAATTCTGCGGGTGACCTTTCTGACAGCTGGAAGGTCCTCCCCGTCCCCATTCCTTGCGTGCTCTCCTCTTGTCCCGCCCCCTCTGCTTTGTCTCCACTTCCTCATCCTTTTCCCTCTCTGGACCCTGCTCCTGAGTATCTCCCACCTTCTTCAGACAACTTCTCCTCATGAAGTACAGAGTCCCCCACCTCCAGGAAAAAGAGACAAAGACCACGAGAAGGACCTGAGAAACGCCTGTGACCCCGCCCCTGAGGCCAGCCTCTCCTTCAGCGCTGGCTCTGGCTGTGTGTGTGTATGTATTTTTGTTTTGTTTGTTTGTTTTTGAGACAGGGTCTCACTCTGACAGTCTGCAGTGTCCTGATCACAGCTTACTGCAGGCTCCAACTCCTGGACTCAGGCAATCCTCCCACCTCAGCTTCTCGAGTAGCTGGGACTACAGACTGGAGCCACCACACCCAGTGTGTGTGTGTGTGTGTGTGTGTGTGTGTGTGTGTGTGTTTGTGTATATATATACCCTTTTTTTTTTTTTTTTTGTAGAGACTGGGTCTTGCTTTGTTACCCATGCTGGTCTTGAACTTCTGGCTTCAAACAATTCTCATGCCTCAGCCTCCCAAAGTGCTGAGATTACAGGCATAAACCACAATGCCTGGCCCCTGTGTGTGTACATAGAAAGTCAAAGTGCTAAACCTGGCGCCTAGGAAACATCCCCACCTAGGCATTGCTTGCAACAGTCGGTATTTTGTGCACCTGTGCTTTTATTTCAGGAGCTGGGACAGTTATATTCATCAGAACAGCACGGTGTCAAGGCCCTCACCCCCAGAAAGCTTAAGAGACACTGTTTTATGGAGGAGAGTGAGATTGGAGGAACCCCTGACTCCAGGTCTCCTGATCCTTCCTACACAAAGCGAAGCTGAAAAAAAGTGCAGGACACTCCATTTCCTCCTGGGACCAGACAGGGAAGCCAGAGCCACCATGGATGTCAAATTCCAGCAAGGAAACACCAGTATAGCAAAATCTCCACATCACATTTTAAAGCTCACACAATGGCTCAAAGAGAACCCACATCAAAAAACCGAATTCCTAGCTCAGGTGAGATCACCAAAGTTGCCTGTGAGGCTTCGTGGAACCTGCAGGTAGAAAGGACATCTTTATTTTGAGCTGCAGCCCAGTTGCTCCTGCGTCTTGGAGCCCCTTGAAAGGACCCTCTCCCTTCAACAGTACATAGGGAGGCCATTTCTGGGGAGAAATGTAGACTGTCCTTAGACTCCTGAGGTTTTTACACTTGCTTGCTGACTCTGTGGACTTTGACTACATCATTAAACATCTTATAATGATGTAATTTGCTTTGACTGTAAGTGTAGAACAGGACACTGTTCCTGAATCAGGAAACAAGGGACTGGTGACCTGAACTGCCACCCCCCTCCCTGGTGCTCAGATGCAATGAAATCATGAGGCAACAAATCTATGGCTAGGTAAAGGGTCAATTCTATTTTGGCAAATGTTTCAGATGTTCCTTCCTGCCTAGTAATGTTCCAGCTTTACCCCAGCCTTAATCTTTTAAAATGTATATTTTCCTTGGTGTTGATTTTAAAATAATTCATATGTATTTATTACACTGGGTTTGTTGCAGTAAGCCACCTCGAATGTTGCTGTAGAATTAAAGTAAGCAAATAAATGTGTGGTTCTCCAAGGAGTTATTGCTAACACCATCTTAAAAATGTATTAACCCCAAATCCAATCACTTCTCACTCCTCTACTGCCTCCTCCCCAGGGCCATCCTCTCCAAGATAGTAAACCAGAAGGCCTTCCAGCTGGGCTGCCTGCTGACTCTCACACCCGCTGTCCATCACCCACACAATAGGCAGAGTGAGCATTTCAAATGGGAATTAGAGCTCATCCTCGCCACCGCGTCCCACAGACATGCCAGCCTCTTCCCTTCTTAGCACAGTGAAACCCCAGTCTCTCACTATGTTTTACAGCCCCTCATCCCTCATCACAGGATCCTTCTGGCCACTCTGGCCTCATCCCACCCCTCTCGGCCCAGCTCACTCATCTCCACTAACACTGCTCAATCCTGTCTCAGGCACCTCCCACTGGAACTCCCCAAGTGCACCTGCTCCCCAGGGATCCAAAGGGATCCAAAGGCCCCTCACACCATTCAGGTCTCTGCTCAGACGTCCAGTGTTCAAATTCCCAGGAACATCTTGATCAACAGACTATATCTCCTACCATCCTCACCACCATCAACCTTCTAGCTCAAGCATATTTTCTCCATAACAATTATCACCGGTATTAGAATTGTTTTCATTTGTTTCATTGGTTGTCATGTTCTTCAAGGCAGGGACCTTGTCTAGTCACCACTTGGATTTCCAGCATCTAGAAATCCAAGGACAGAGAAGGGGCTCAATAAATATGGGTTGAGTAAATGGGTGATTATAATTGGTACACTGCTTTTTTTTTTTTTTTTTTTTTGAGACAGAGTCTCGCTCTGTCACCCAGGCTGGAGTGCAGTGGCATGATCTCGGCTCACTGCAAGCTCTGCCTCCTGGGTTACACCATTCTCCTGCCTCAGCCTCCAGAGTAGCTGGGATTACAGGCGTCCGCCACCACGCTTGGCTAATTTTTTGTATTTTTAGTAGAGAGGGGGTTTCACTGTGTTAGCCAGAATGGTCTGGATCTCCTGACCTCGTGATCTGCCCGCCTGGGCCTCCCAAAGTGCTGGGATTACAGGCGTGAGCCTCTGTGCCCAGCCGGTACACTGCTTTTGAGAAGTAATTTGATAATATGTATGAGAAGGCTTAAAAATGTTCATGCGGCCGGGCATGATGGCTCACACCTGTAATCCCAGCACTTTGGGAGGCCGAGGCGGGTGGATCATGAGGTCAGGAGTTCGAGACCAGCCTGGCCAATATGGTGAAACTCTGTCTCTACTAAAAATACAAAAAGTAGCCAGGTGTGGTGACGTGTGCCTGTAATCCCAGCTACTTAGGAGGTTGAGGCAGGAGAATCTCTTGAACCCAGGAGGTGGAGGTTGCAGTGAGCTGAGATCTCGCCACTGCACTCCATCCTGTGTGACAAAGTGAGATTCCGTCTCAAAAAAAAAAAAAATTTCATGCCTTTTGACCCAGTAACTTTTATTGAGAAATCTGTGATTTTAAAACAAAATCCAATATATAGAAAGATCTTTAGGTATAAGGATATTAATTACAATAATGAAAAAAACATGCAAAAGAAGAGTGGCTAGGTCCTCTGTTTGGAAACAGCCTACAGCTGGTGAAAGCTGTGTGTAAGAAGATTTTGTAATATGATAGAAAGTTGTGTATTGATAATAAAGTTTTGAAAAGCAAGATTCAAAATAACTCGTAAGCATGACGACACTAAGTCATCCTGCACAGTCACCCGCATGCACAAAAACCAGGAGTGGAAACTCAGGGGCAGCTGCAAAGCACAGCTCCAGGCCCCTTCCCTCTGAAGTCTGAGGCTCTGCCAGGCAACGTTTCATCCCGATCCTCCCAGTGGAGACACTGGCAGTTTCCATCCTTCTGCTTCTTTATACCTTTTTATATTTTCTGTACTTGAGATTTTACTTCCTAAGAAGATAAAATACCTATTAGAAAGTTTTAAAAATTTGAAATAAAATTTTAAAGAAGTCCAAATGTCTGGCCAGGCGCATTGGCTCATGCCTGTAATCCCTGCACTTTGGGAGGCCGAGGCGGGCAGATCACGAGGTGAGGAGTTCGAGACCAGCCTGGCCAACATAGCAAAACCCTGTCTCTACTAAAAATACAAAAAATTAGCTGGATGTGGTGGTGGGTGTCTGTAATTCCAGCTACTCAGGAGACTGAGGCAGGAGAATCGCTGGAACTCGAGACGCAGAGCTTGCAGTGAGCCAAAATCGTGCCACTACACTCCAGCCTGGGTGATAAGAGCAAAACTCTGTCTCAAAAAAAAAAAAAAAAAAAAAGTCCAAATGTCCATTCCCAACTCAGCTTCAAGGAAAGTCTCCTCTAGACTCCACAGGGTAGAAATTCCTGTTGATGGCACCTTCAGAAGGTAAGAAAGGAACTCTTCCTCCACCATGCCTGACCCATCTTTGGGTTTTAGGCGTTGGCCGACTGATAAAGGCAATACTGAGAGTGTGATCAATGTGTAGACGACCGATTGTCATATAATATGAATCTCACCACACCTGAGAGAGTGGGATAGATTCTCTCATTTTCATAGTTTGGGCATCTGAGTCCCTGAGAGCCTGAATGCCTGACATGGATTCTCCAAGAATGTTGGCCTTGAGACTCTAAAGGGCCCCGGGTCTCCTGTGAAGCCCCCTGTGCATGCACCACACCCGCAGAGGCTCCACAACAGCGAGAAGAGCACCCAGGGTCAGAGTCCAGGCGAGTTCACACTCGGGGACCATCCACATCCAGGGCGTGCAGGGGAGGGGCCGAGGTGAGAGCCCAACCCCTGCCTAGGCTGTGGTGACTGGTGGCTGCACGGGGGTCCCAGCGCTCCTGGAGCTATCATTCTTTATCTCCTGAAGACCCCGGACCTGCATATACCAAAACTCTGCATTTCTGGTGGAGCAGTCTTCTCTTCTGAGATGTAAACACTACTTCTCGAATCTTAAAGCCAGCCATTGCCACTCCTAAGGGATAAGCCTCTAACTCCACTGAAATTAGCCTCAGAATTTCAGCTGAGCATTTGGAGCCACAGGCAGGAAGTCTGTGGGATTAGCACCTGGCTGATCTGGAAGGTGGTCCTGAAAGGTAGTGTGTGACTAGGTGGGCTTTGAGGGGCATGGAAGTCCCTGATGAGAGGAGAACAAGACAGATGGGAAGCCTCCAAAAGTGAATTTCAGTGGGCCCTGTGCCCACCACTAGGATTTGGAAAATCTTTTCCCAGCCACTTTTGGCCTGTGGGTTTTCATTCTGCTTTCCTGTCTGCCAAGCCACTGCAGGCAATCCCTTCGTTTGGTAAACATTTATCAAATACCTACTGTGCGCGGGGCGTTGTTTTAAGAGGAGCTGGAACTGAGGTAAGAGGAAATAAACCCTCCTTGCCCTCAAGGCGTGCCCAGTCTTGCTCAGGCAGAGATCAGTAAGGAAATCATAACACAAATTGAGAGAGGAAAAAGGAAGAAACTGGTCAGGCGGGCAGTTATGGTGGGTCCTCAGTTGAATTATTTCAAACAAAAGAACGGCCTGCAGGCACAGAGAAGGGAACTTGCACAGGGGGGCTTGCCTAAGACATGCCCACAGCTGCACAAATAAGAAAGGCTGCACAGGAGACTTGCCCAGACATGCCCGCAATGGAAAATTCTGTCCCCCGATACGTGGGCAGTCAGGGAAACAAAGCAATATGGAGTAACTCAAGCTAAGGGCCTGCATGGGCACTAGGAGGATGGGGTGGAGCTAACGGAAATTCGTGCCTTATGCAAATGAGACACCCAGCCCTCATCAGTTTCTTATAAAAGCCTTGCATTCAGCTGTAAAAATGGCAACCATCTTCCAAGCCCCCTCTCCGTGGGGGAGAGCTTTCTTCTTTTCCTTATTAAACTTTTGCTCCAACCTCACCCTTTGTATCCATGCTCCTTAATTCTCTTGGTGGTGAGACAAAGAACTCCAGGTAACACCTCACAAGGAGAGACTGAGAGGCTGCTATGTTGTGGTGCATTGGCAAGACTAACAAACTGGCTAGTGGGACATGCACACTTGCTTGGTAGACATATATGTAGATCTTCAGCTCTGACTAATGAAGGAATACCAAAAATCTCATAAAAGAAAAGAATATTATTTGAGCTTTGTTTTGTGGTGTAAGTGGGAGCCCCGCAGGCACCCAGGATAGGAGAGCTTTGCTCAGAATCCAGGAAGTGAACATCTTTCCCTGGGCCAGGCCAAGAATGAGACTAAGCTGATTGAGGAGCCTGGTGCCTCCTGGCAAGAAAGGGTGTCTGACACCTGACTATCCAGAAGTCACAGCTACTCAATATTGAGACTTGAAACAGAGAGACAGAGAGAGAGAGAGAGACAGAGAGAGAGAGAGAGAGAGAGACAGAGAGAGAGAGAGAGAGAGAGAGAGAGAGAGAGAAAGATCTGATTTGAAAAGCAGAATTCTGCTGGGGGCTTGTTAAATGCAGAGTTTCTGATACAGTAGGTCCAGGCCAGGCCCTGAAGATTGCATATCTAAGTTCCCAGGTGATGCCAATGCTGCTTCCCCCAGGACCACACTTTGAGAACCACCACCCTAAGGCAATCTGTGTTGGTTTCTAATATCAGAAGAGGGCTGGGAGTGGGCTGGGAGGCAGAGGTGTAGGATCAGTGAGACCACACCTGACCCACCCTGGACAGCTCCCCACCCCAATCTTGCAGCATTTTATTTCCTGGGAGTCCTGGGAATGGAAGACACCCAGGAAGGGACCAAATGTGGGGTCACAGGGTGATCCAGAGGCTCGGCTTCATACAGCACCTGGGGCTCCCGCCACTCCACAACTGGCCCCCACACCCTCAGTCTTCCCACCCCTCACGACACTGACCTCCAGACCTTCCTCGACTAATCTCAGCAGGTTGGGCCTGGGATGTGACACTAGGAGCTCTGAGTGTACCTTCTGATCCAAAGATAGGGTGACCGCGTATGACAAGTACTCAGATGGGCCATTAATAGGACCTTGAACATTTGGCAAATGGCTTCAGTCACGTGTGCTTGAGAATTCCAGTGTTTTCTAGATATGGCATCCATGAGCCCACACAAACACTGGAGGGCGTCGTGAGCATACTGAAACCCATAACTGCTGCACTGGATCCCCTAGAATCCCTTTCCCACTTAGACCAAGATTTGAACAAAATTTCCTTCACCAAACAAACTGCATTTAATTAATCATGCTGTTATTTTACCTTGTAATGGAAAAAAGACAGATGTAAAGAAAGATCATGCAATTAAAAAGAAAACAACGTACTGAATTAAAATGGCAGTAAACCTCCTCGTTAAAGGAATAACATAATATTTAGAAAATTTTTAAATTTTATTTCGATAAAGGTTAAAAAATTCCATTGGTTTTTAAAAAGTTTTTCATTTTGAATTTTTTGGGGGTTTGTTTGGTCTCCTTAGGAATTATCTTTTATTTCTTGATATAGTTCAAAATTCAAAATTCAAAATGTTCAAAAGGTAAAATGTCTCTCTTTTACCCTGTCTCATCCCCAACAGGCAACCAAGGATATTAACTTCTTGCTTATTCTTCCAAATATATTTTATGCATATGCAAGCAAATATAAATGTGTACATATATATCCTTTGTCCCTTTTCACACAAATTTTAGCAGACTCTATATGTTATTCTACACCTTGCTTTATTTCTTCATGAGGGAATATCAAGAGTTTTCTATGTCTTTCTTCTTTTGTGTTAAATGTTTGTAGACTCTGCCGTGTAGCTATGCAGTGCTTGTTTGGGTTTTCTTAGGAAGGTAGGGAGGCCTCCTTATGTTACCCAGAGTGGAGTAGAGTGTATTCACAGGTGAATGCTACTGTGCCCAGCTTGCAATGCTTTTTTAACCAGTCCCCTAGTGACAGACATTTGGATTATTTTTTCTTTTATCTGTCATTTTCTTTCTTCTTTTCTTTTTGCTTTTACAAACAGGGTTGCAACATATAATTCTGAATACAGTCATTTTTCAGGAATGCAGGTGTGTTTTGGACACATTGTTAGAAGTGGGACTACTGGGTGTATGCATTTTTAATTTGGACAGAAATAGCCATACTGCCTTTCCTGAAAACATTTCCAGTTTGCAGGCCCATCTGCAGTATATCAGAGTACCTGTTTTGGTACCATTATTTTTTTGATTATAGAAATATGTAGAGATATATATTTGGGAGCCATCTGTGTCTAGATGATATTTAAAATCCTGAGAGTGGAGGACACCGGAGTGATTAGGAAGGTAGTAACACCCCAGAGTGCTCCAGCATCTACAGCAAAAGGAGCCAATGAAGGGGGACTGAGGAGGAGCAGCCAGTTGGGGAGGAAGAGAACTTGACCTGTAAAATGTCAAAGAAGATTTTAAAGGGGGGAGCTGATACAACCTCTTCAGAGAACAATTTGACATCCTATAACACCACATGGTAAAAGCACAGTAATCCCATTCCTACATCCATATCTTGGGGAACTCACACAGGGGACCAGAGAGAGATGACCCAGGATGTTCATTGTGGCAGTGTCTGTAACAGAAACAAGCTAAAGGTCGCGGACAGAAGAGATAAATTGTGGGATATTCCTCCCATGAATACTATCCAGAACTGAAAACAAAGTAACTGTTTCTATGGGTGTGGGTTCACCTCATAAACCATATTAAATGATAAAGCAAGCCACAGAATGATACATTCAACAAAAAACAATTTATACAAAGTCTAAAATCATGTAAAACAAAGGGATTTAAAAAACTTTGTAACAATATAAAGGCATTCACCAAATTCAAGACATCCGCCACTCCCCACTGGCAGTCCTTGCTTTACTCAGTACAGTATCGACTGAAACACATACATAACAGAACTGTGGAAAATCAGGGCTATCTGCATATATTTCTATTATTTTCTATGTATACTACATATAGCCAATAATATTAAAATGTTACAAATTGACAAACCTGAGTGGTGGCTTCACAAAGATTTCTTTTAATTCTCTATTCTTCCAGCTAGAACTACTTCAGCTAGATCAAGTGGTGGCAGTGATCTGCAAAAGTCAGAGGTCACAGTTACCATGACAACCCCAACAGAGCAGGCAAGGTTGTGCTTGACCTGCAGGGAGTGTGGGGAAGGTTAACAGAGGGCAGTGTCCCAGGTTCAGAACAGAAGGACAGCCAGCAAGGGCGCTGCTTGATATCTATGAAAAGAAAGCAAGAATTGAGGAGCAGGAGGCTGAGGGTGTTTGATCCAAGACAAAGTCATAATCCGTTCTCAATGCCTAGACCTCACCTAACTTTCAGATTCAGATCCCAATGACAGAGGAGGGGAGTCCATATCCCTAGGAGGAAGAACCCTGGAACACCCTGGGAGTATATGCTGGGTCAATTCCCTGAACTCTTCTGCAAAGGAACCTACAGCCATTTACACAGGAGACTGTACACCGGGAAAGGGAAATAGGCAGAATTTGGGTGAGTATTGACTTTGTGTGTGAGCTAACATTGATGCCCAGATTCCTACAGCACCATCGTGTCCCATCACAGAGGGGCTTCCAGAGGCCAGGACACATTATAGCTCACAATCCCGTAGTCCCAGCCCTGTTTAGTTCCCTATTCCTTGAGTGCATAATGGCATTGATGCACTGGCAGCTGGAGTGACCCCCACACCGCGTCTCTAACCTGTGGATTAATGGCTCTTATTGCGCTGAAGGCTAAAGGGAAACCTCTGAAACTGCCCCTATCCCAATCGAAGCGATATTACGTCCCAGGGCAGGTCTTGGAGGTTATTGCAGGTATTGTGGGGGGTATCACCACCATTAGAGAGCTGTAGGAGGTGGGATAGTGCTGGAGTTGCCTATTATCTCCGTGTATTCTGTCCTTGCAGAAGCCCAATAGGACCTAAAGAATGAACAGGATTACTTCACATTTGACCAAGTAGTGGTCTTGATTGCAGCTGCCATGCTGGCTGGATATCACTGCTAGCAGAGGTTAATGAGGCTGCAGGCCAATGGTGTGCAGCCGAGGATTTGCTGAGTGCATTCCTTTCCAGCTAGAAAGTGGATATGGAGTTATTCACATTCATACCACATTTATTTACAGTTTCCCTGAGAGCTATTATAACTCTTCTGTCATCTGTAACATAGTCTTAAGAGATGCTGGACATTCTACAGAATATTAAATCTGTTCATTTCATTGGCAACATCATAGATTGGGATGGATGAGAAAGAAGGTGGAAAGTATGCTGGAGGTCTTGGTAAAACACATGCACCCCAGAAAGAGGAGGATAAATCTTACAAAACTTTAGGAGTGGCAACTGCAGTGAAATTTTATGGGTCCAGTGGCTAGGTGCATGCAGAGATATTTCTTCCAAGTAAAAACAAAAGAAAACAGAAAAAAAACCCGTTGCATCTTTCATCTTCAGTGAGAAAAAAAAAAAAAAGAGAGAGAAGCAGACTGCCTGGTGAATCTCTTTGGGTTCTGACAACACCACATTCCATATCTAGGTATATCATTTTGGCCACATTTTGGGTGACATAGGAGGATGCCAGATTCAAGTGGAGCCTACACAGGAAAGGACTCTGCAGCAGATCCAGGCTGTGGTGCAGGCAGCCACCATCCCTCAGACCCCCTGGTGCTGGAGGTGGCAGGGCTGGGGAAAGATGCAGGATGGAGTGAACTGAGCATCAGTGGGGAAAGTCACAATGGAGGGCCTGGGATTCTGGAGTAAGTTCATGTCATCCACAGCAGAAATATATGCCCCCTTCTCGAAGCAACTTTTAGTGTTGCTGGCCCTGATCAGATAGAATTCTTGACCACAGGACACTGAGAACCACGTAATTCCAAGTGGTTGTATGAATTGGCTTCTGTGTGACCTACAGAGTTATAGATTGGACAGGCCCAACAGTGTCCATCATGAGATGGAAATGGTCCATGTGGAATGAGCCCAAACCCCAAGTTAACACCCCATCTGCCCAGAAAATACCTGCCCCTGAGGTGGCACTGAACAACCAAGCAGACAAATGGAAGTTAGCCAGCCTTCACTGGGGGCCAACTCAGACCTTGCAGGGTGGGAACATGCATGCAGGAATCACAATAGCTCCCTTCACGTGCCCATCCCACCAGGTCACTCAGTGGCCTTGGTCGGTGGGAGTCAGTGCTGCTGGACCCATAGGTAGCCTCCAAAAGGTAAGACTCCCACCTACCAAGGCCGAACTAGCTGCTGCCACCTCTGAATATCCAACTTGTTAGGATTAGACACCTGTGATAGGCCCTGATGTGCCCTGCTTAGGCACTATTTCTTTAGGTGATCAAAGCGCCACTAAATGACACATTGACCACATTGAGCCTCATCATGGAAGGGCCAGAGATTCATCCTCACTGGGACAGACACTTCCTCCATGGGTAGGCTTTTTCCCTCACTATTCTCAGACTCTCAGCCAGCACCACTGACATTCCTGATCCACAGGTTTGGAATTACTCTCAGCACAGCCTCTTCCTGGGGGACCCACCTCACAGGGAAATGGAAGTGGGTGCAGCATGGGCCATGACCAGGGGATCCACTGATCCTATCACCATCTGCACCCTGCGGGGGCTGCCGGCCACACAGAACATTGGACAGGCCTTCAACAGGAACAACTCAGAACCAGCTTGGAGGAAACACTGAGGAATGGGTGCCATCTTTCAGGGCACGGTGCATTTATTGAATCAGAGACATCACTACGGTTCTGTATTCTCAGTAGGAAGAAACTTGGGTCCAGAAACAAAGGGATGGAAGAGAGTGTGGCTGCATGTCCCATCCCTTACATTCACCCACTGTGGAACTTGCACTTCTCATCTCCCAAATCTGGGCTTTGTAGTATAGGAGGTCCTGGTTTTCCACAGGGAGGCATTCAGACAAGGGGACAAACAAGAGCCCACTGAGCTACACATTACAGTTGCCCGCAGGACAGTATGGGCCTAGAGACAAGCAGGGAAGAGGAGCACTCCCCTCCTCTCCAGGCAGGGGTGATGGATCCTGATCCCCAGGACGAGGCAGGGCTGCTGATACACAGTAAGGGCAGGAGGAGTTTGTGTGGAACCCAGAGATTCACCTGGGGGCCTCCTTATTCACCTTGTCCCATTGTAAATGTGAACAGAATCGTCCAGCAACCCAGTCTGACAGCGTTTGATTTCCAAAGGCCCAGACCCCTCAGGAGGAAGATTTGAGCCGCATTTCCAGGAAATTTCCCAAGGCCTCCCTCCCGTGCTCTGTCATTCTCAGCAGCATTGGTGCAGAGGCCCTGCTTCCCATGGGCTGTTCCCAGCCACTGACACGTAACAGCAGGGGCACTAAGACAGACCATTCCTGGGCAACAGGGGACTCCTCTGTTGGCCATCTGTGGCTGGAGGACTCCTCCATGGCCTTGCTCAACTCTCCTTAGATTGCCTGTGGTCTAGGATGCGTCCAACAACCCTTCTTTCCTTTTGTCCAGGACTGGAGTCAGCCTTGCCTCTGGGCCTGCCACTTTTCCCAGGGTTATCTGGCTCCCTCCCCGTATTCTTTGACAGGTGTGTCCCCCAGTAAACCTGGTGAGAGGCTCTGAGCCAGAAGCACTCAAGGAAATCTCTCCCAGATTCCTGACCACTGGAAACTGTGGGAGATGATAAGAATTTGTTGTTTTGGGTTGTCAAACTTTATGTTATTTATTATACAACAATAGACAATAGCGCTTCAAAAGAGAGAATGAATTACTACACTTTAATTTTTATTTACTCTAAATTAACTAAAAGATATTCAGTGTTATTTGGTTTTAAGATTTCAGTATTTCCATGTATCAATAGGATGTATTTTATTAACATTCACAACAATCTATTTATTTGAACTTCAGTTTCCTACTGTGACCCAATTAAACAGAAAAGGAAGATCCTGACTATGGGAGGATGATTCAGTGATGGCCTCCACATAACCACCCCTGGTTATTCACCTTCCCCCAGTTACTCAATCAACACTACTGTAGGTGCCGCTGTGAAGGAATTCTGCAGATATAAGCAAGGTCCCAAATCAGTTGACTTTAAGGCCATGATTATCCTGCCTTGGACTGTCCTAATCAGGTGAGCTCTTAAAACAACTTATTTCTTCTTCAGCAAAGAGATTCACAGTGTGAGCGAGATTCAACGTGAGGGGCTTCCTCCGCTGTGAGCTTTGAAAATGAAGGGGCCATGTGGCAAAGGATATGGCGGGCTCCAGGAATTGAGAGCAGCTCCACCCCACCTCCACCTGACAGCTGCCAAGGAACAAGGACTACAATCCCACAACTGCCTGAAACTGAATTCTGCCACCAAGCTCTGTATAAGCTGGAAGGAGGACCCCAGCCTCAAGATGAGGACACAGCTTCGTGAAATCCTGAGCTGAGAATCATTCACACCAGGCCTGGATTTCTCATTAAGGAAATGTAGAGAAATAAATGGGTGCTGTGTAGAGCCAGTGAGTTAGTGGTAATATGTTATGCAGTAACAGAAAATTCATACATAGACCAACAGATAAGCATATAACATTTTCTCTATTGGAATAAATTAGTGAATTGAAATGTACACTCCTTGTATAAGATAAAATCTTTCCTAATTTTTTGTATTCTTCATTTTATAATGTTTATGCAATGCAATTACATTTTAATACAATCATATTCATGAATTCACCAAAGACCAAAGCTAACTTTGTATCTACTATGTACCAAGTATGTCTTTACATACCGTGCAGTTGGTTCAGTCCTCACACCTGCTTTCTTCATGTTTCCTGCGCTGGGTCTGCAGTCACAGTTTTGGAAACTTCTCTGGGGTCCAAGACTAGGGGGTTCCTCTAGGACCTCATGGCCCTGTCTCTTCCCTAGCCCCTCACAGGATGATTTCTTCCCAGAGGCAGAGAAGGAGGTGCTCAGGCTGTGTGTAACTATGGGAGACAGATGTGGAGGAGCTCACCTATGCCATAATTCCTCCTCTCCCACATCTCCTGCAGGCTCTGACCGGGTCCTGTTTTTGTTCTACCCCAGGCAGTGACAGTGACCAGGGCTGTGATGTGTCTCTCACAGCTTGTAAAGGTGGCGTCCTGGAGGGCCTTATGTGGAAGGGGGATGGGGTACAGGGGACAAGACTGGATTACGGTGATTCTTTGGGACACTTTGAGTGTGTAGTGGGGAGTTCAGAGTGTTACGCTTTATGGCCACTGACCTGAATTTGTTCATGACTATTGTTTTCTGTAGCCTGAGGCAGCTGTCTTGTGAGGGACTGAGATGCAGGATTTCTTCATGCCGCCCCTTTGTGACTTCAGGAGCCTCTGGTGTCTCTTTCTGCAAAGGCATCTGAATGTGTCTGTGTCCCTGTTAGCCTAGTGTGAGGAGGTGGAGAGACCAGCCCTCCCCCATGTCTACCATGACCCCCTTCCCCATGCTGAATTAGCTGACTTTACAAAAAGAAAATTACCATCAATAATGTGGATGGGCCTCATCCGATCAGTAGAAGACTCTGAGAGCAGAAACTGAGGTTTCCCAGAGAAGAAGAAATCCTGCCTCAGAATTAGAACATCTTCTTTCTGCGTTTTCAGCCTGCTAGCTTATCCTGCAGATTTTCATACTTACCGCCCTAATAATCACATGAATAAATATCATAATATGAATACAAATACACACACACACACACACACACACACACACACCTTATTGGTTCTGCTTCTCTGAAGAATCTGGACTGATAGAGACTGTGGTACGAAGAGTGGTTCTAGAGGAACAGAATCTTTTTAAAAATTTTATAGCTAACCATAAAAAATACTTTATTAAAATGTTGAAATGTATATAAGCATAACTACAAATTAGCAAATTAAGAATTAAATTGGCAAATAAGAAAAGAATTGTTTTCTTTTCCTAATACAGTACAAGCAACAGTAATTTGGATCTTCCTCACTTTCAGCCACCATTTGCCCTAGGTGTCCTTCACTTAAGCTTCTAGCTTGTGTTTTTGGAGTGAAAATTCACATGGATACTAAGAAGCAACTCTAATAATGTGAATCAGGTATCAAAAACTCCTTATGGCATGTTAACATGTAATGATGGTTCATATATATTCCAACATCTCACAACAGGCAAGCATTATTTCCAGAAGAAAATTAAGTCACTTTTGTAGCTGTGAGTGAATGTTCTACAAATGAACACTGAAGATTTAAGGCATTGCTCTGCTCTGGAGCAGTGCTTCTGTGGCTCCAGCAAACTGTACAAAGGCTTTCTTTAATTATATATATATTATTTTATATACACAAATATTATATATATACACACCCCCTGAATCTAAAAGTTGAAAAAAGAAAAAATACAAATGTATCTTCTGTGATAGTTCAATTACTTCACTCCATCGATGATTTTCTTGGGCATAGAACTGAAACTATCAGTCAATGATGTGTGTTTATACACCTGGCTGTGATTCAAATGGTTATGAATAAATGGTCTTCCATTTCCTGTTGCCACTATAACATGGTTATTTGTCCCTGATCTAACAACTCCTTCTCCAGCTCCATTCTCTGGCCCCTGAGATTAATAGTCCAAGTGGTATCTTGGGTCAGTAAGTGGTTAGACAGGACAAGGTTGATTTGAGCTAATACTTCCGGCATGTCCATTTTGATTTGTAACAGAGGCTTTTTCTGGATTCATCCCCTACAAGGTGAGCTGGATCACCTTGCAACCATCACCCATGCTTGAAAATACGGGAGGTAGCCAGTGTTTCTCTTTATGGCCAAACACTTGTCTCCAATTTTTACTATTGTCTTGTTTTTTTAAAACCAACCAGCAGTAGTAGCTGAAAGAGAGAGACACTGAACAAGAACTTTGCAGGCACAAAGAAAAGGAAAAGTATGTGGAGCTTTGCTGTGTATCTGTCAGTTCATCCTACTCCACTAGAACCTGGCGTTCTCAGGACTTGATGTCCTGCAGGCACCCAGCTGAGGGCAGTGAGCACCCTGAGAGCCAGCTGGACTCCCCTCTTGGAGTGTAATCGCACAGCAACAGCATCTGCATATGGAGTTGCCCTGCACTTCTGGAACCGTCTCTCTTGGTCATGGGGGCTACTGTGACATTGTCCTTTCTTCCGTTTTCCTTTCTTCCTCTGTCTTGTTGCTAGGGATAACTTTGCCCCTGCTGGCGTCATGTCCTGAAGAGCTGAGGATGACACATCCTGGCTGGCGTCCTCCCTGGTTGGCCTTGGGTCACTGTCTAAGTGTTAAGTGTTGCCTGTGGCAGGAGGTTGTGGGAATGAGCGGCACCGCCTCACGGAGCTGTCCCTGTGGGAGTGGCCTGCAGGTGTTTGTACCTGTGGCATTTTCACAACTCTTTCCAAGACTCAAGAATGTGCTGTGGGAGGAGAGCAGGTCTGGGTCCTCCCCTGTGTCCCCCATCTACTCATCTGGGTGGCTGTGGGACTGACGTTGTCGGAAATGAGAAACGCTGCCCCTTCACAAGGCACTACCTAGTTTTTCTCTTCTGGAAGGTGGCAGCACAATGCCCAGGCTGAGATGGACACAGGAGTCGGCATCCTAAAGTAAAACATGTGATTCTAATAGAAATACCCGAGCTTTTCAATGTGAATGAACAGGACCTTCCACCCTCTGGCAACTATGTATTTCTCCTTGAGATTTGACCAAAAAAAAAAAAAAAAAAAAAGAAAGAAAGAAAGAAAGAAACAATGGAAAAAAAAAAGCAGAAGAAGGTGTGGTGGCTGGGGTGTGGGGAGCTGGGACCCTGGCCCTGTGCAGGTGAGTTGCCAGGTGCTTCTGGGGAGGCCACCACCATCCTGGGCTCTGCCAGGTTGAGGCACCACAGAGCCAGCCTTCCTGACGATGCCGTCTGTCCCAGTGGCTCACCGGAAGCCACAGCGCCCAGATTAGTTTTGTGTTGATAGAAATTTTTAAAGTATTATGTTACATAATTTTACGCTTTTTGAGGAGGCAAATAAGTCTTTCTGGCTAAGTTGCTCCTCATGGCAATCTCTCTGATGTGCTTGAAGAAGGCCAGATCTGTAGGGTTCCCACCCTCAGTGAATACCTGTGCTTCCCTGTGGGGTCTATTTTCAGGGGTCTTTGCCTGTTGGTTGCCCCTAAGACTGCTGACCTCACGCCCTTTGGTGGAAGCCATGCTCTTTCTTGCTCACTGAGGGTTGGAAAACTGGAAAATTATGGTCGATGAGGATAGACAGTAACATTTGTTCTGTGTGGCACTGTCATCACCCGCACTTGAAGGTGAAGCCATGTTTCAGAAAGTACAAAACGTGGCCCCATCCCTTGGCTGCCAAGTGGCCTAGTGGCAATGTGAGCCCGAGTGGATCACACTGTGACACAGGACAGGGTGGATTCAAGGGCTCCTTCCCAGCTCAGGGATTAACTGCAGGGCTGGGGGTAACCGGGGCTGAGAGGAACCTGGAGACGTGCTGGTGTGTGGCCGGGTGAGAGCCTGGAGACAGCCTCCACCTGTCCTCACAGCACCTGGGGGAGACATACTGAGGAGGGGGCACCTGCCCCTCCACTCTGCCTCACCATTGTCCCCCATCTCACTGGCATCCCTGGTGTCCACCAGGCACTTTTCACGTGTTTCCTCCTTAACCTTCAGAACTTCTCCGTGAGGTCAGTGTTGGGTTTGCATTTCTGGAGTTGAGGGAAGACTTTGAGCCCGGGAGACTCCCTAGGGAGGGGTCCACATTCCATAACTGACGCCACAGTTGAGCCTCAGCAGTTCGGACTTCGGACCCCAGAGTGTTCTGAGCTCTGAGTTGCTCTGGGCTGGCAGTGCCCTGTGCCAGCTGCACTGAGGCAGCCGTGTTCCTGCTGGTCCTACAAGTTTCCCCACCTGAAACCAGAAGCAGATCAGGATTTCCCAAATTCTCTCTAGCCCTGATGGGTGACATCTCCACTGTTTTAATGAGGCAATAATTGCAGCTACTACTTCTGTGGTGGGTGTTGCCATGTTCCAGGCATCTTTCTGGGTACTTGGCATATGTAAACACATGCATTTACAATGGAAGCTCGTGAAGCACAGAGAGGTTAAGTGACTTGGTCAAGGTCACACAGCAGTAAGTAATAGAGCTGGAATTTGAGCTGAGACAATCTGCTGGCATCATGTCAGATACAGTGAGATGACTGGAGGTGGGAAGAAGCTGGGGTGTGTTGATTACACAGAGTACACATGGCCTCTGTAGTAAGCTGGAGCCTTTGGCCACCCAAAGGTGGATTTGTGCATGAGCTGAGGACAGGTTTCTAATGTGCCAGATGAGGTGAGTAGGAGATTATGCACTTGTGTCTTCAGCCTGTCCTCCACGTCTTTGTCATCTCCTGAGGATGGAGCATCTGTCATGTGCACAATGAGTGGCACCGCTCATGCTGGGTGAGTCGCTGCAGCTGCAGGCCCCCAGGGTCCTCGTGAGAGGCAGTCAGCACCTGCAGCTGCTGCGGCTCCACCAGGATGCATTTTGAGGACACCAGCTCTGCACCATCCTTGACCCAGACAGTGGGCCCCATGGGACCACCTCCAGGCAGGGAGCAACTCAGCCCTGCAGTGTCCCGGAGACCAAAGAACCACTGCTCCTGATGGTTTCAAGACCTCAGCGGGAGGCTGCAGCAGGCCTTGAGTGAGGGAGGATCAGCTCCCAGAGCCTGGGTCCTGCCAGACAACACTCAAACCAGGGGCTGGTAAATAATCCCCAAAAGGACCTGGGGCAACATTTTCAACTTTGCCAACCAGTCTCTATACCAAAGACTTAACTCTGCCCTTGTAGCATGAAGCAGCCTTCCATAGACATCCTGATGGTCTCCCCCAGGCGGGCTGCTCCCAGTCCTAGGGGATCAGAAGTAGCGGCTGAACAGCCACAGCCATACAAAGCACTAGGGTACAGGCCAGGGTGTCTGTGGCAGGGGCTGGGGCTGCAGTTTGTCAGGCAGCATGCAGAGGCATGCTGCTCCCCACAGCTTAGCTTGGCACTAGCAGGAGGAGAGTGCCCCTTAGAAGCCTAGGGGCCACTGGAGCCCGACTCAGTGTGTGCAACTCCCGAATAGGCTTGGTGCCCATAAATCCAGCACCATTCTGGGCTGCTGACCCACCAGTGCATAGTGCACCCCAGCTGAGCCAGCTGTCCTTGGCCCACCAAGCCTCAGACCATGCCCAGCCTAGCTTACTGGGGCATAGGGACACTGGAACAGAATTTTAAGAATGAATGTACTGAATTTGGTGGTGAGGGGGGGTTTCTTGAATTGTTTCTCTAATCTATTTGGATTTAAAGGCACAAATGACTCTATTTCCATTAGTACAGAGAGTGTGAATACTCAGAATATCACCATTGGATAGACCTAATCAAATACTTATAAGATCTGGGTGACTATGTATTTGAGACCTTAGAAGACTTTGTTAAACTAGCTATTATAAGGTGATTAGCTAATTTTTGCCAATTGTGCTGGACAAAATGGGGAAAGAAAAAGATGAACTCAGGGCTGCAAACTTCCAGCTCATGAGTCACATAACTCACCTAAAAGTTTCTATGTTTCCTTTGAATGAAATCCTAATCTCCTGTAGCTGCAGGGATGAAATTTCTGAAAAATAAATGCAGCGTCTCATTCTGTGGGTAGCTAAATTACAACACAAAACAAATCCCAAACTTAAAGAATATCTGTTATTTAAGTGAAGGCATTGATTGGGAATAAATGTGATACTGAAAATCAGAATGGGGACATCTGGGCAGATCCTGATGAAGCTAAAGACACTGAACTCCTAAATTCCTCTGAGAATTATTTGCCAGTTTCATTCAACCACATTTGGCGAAGTTAATCCAGCTTTCCCTAACGAAAAGGTAATGGTCTTCTCTGAGGGAGTTGCCCTCAAGACCCTGTGATTCCACTCAACATTCACCCCCAACACCCCTCTGTGATTCCAGATGCGTAAATAGCCTTGAGTCCTAGCATGTCCTGAAAGGTGAGGTGGAATATGTCAGTATGACAATTTAGAGAACCAATGTGACAATGTGATGAAAATAATTAAAAATGTTTAAAAGTCTGTGTCCTAATGTTTATCACTTGAGTATTCTATGCATTTTCTAAAATTCCAAACATAGAAGGATCTTTCTATATAAAGATGCTTGTCAAAACATTATTTACAACAAGACGAAATGAAGGCAGATGGATCCAAAAAAAGAAGTTGGGTTACATCTTCTTATCTGAAATGGGATATGGCTTGTAAAAGTGTATAAACTTTATGCAGAGCTTATAACATGGAAAACTACTTGTATAATAATACATTCCAAAAGCAACATCCAAGATAACCCTTAACATATGAATGCAACTTTGTAAAATGACAGCATATATAAAAATACATATATAGAAAATAACGAAATGAAAATCAGCACCACTGCACAAGACAGCTCCAGGGACCACCATTTGCACTGCAGTCTACAAAGGTTCAACAATATAATAGCAGTGATTTTTTAAAGAAAGGCCTAGGTGATGTTTCTAACTGTCTGTGCATTTTAACGTCTTCTGTGATCAAATAGGGTTTCACTTTTGAATATAAAAACATATATTTTAACATTTAAAATAAAGCATTTGAAGTAAAATAACAATGAAATGAGGCCAGACATGGTGGCATGCACCTGTAGTCCCAGCTACTCAGGAGGCCGAGGCTGGAACATTGCTGGAGCCCAGAAGTTCAAGGACGTAGTCCACTATGATCACAGCTGTGAATAGTCACTGCACTCCAGCCTGGGCAACATAGCAAGACCTTATCTCTATTATAATACTAATAATAGTCATAATCTTCTTTCTCCCTCAGGCTAAAGCTACTTTCTCATTTGAACCCAAAGGGCAGAAATGTCTACCAAGTGCTCCACCAGAGAAAAGAAATGAGTTCTTCCTTCACAATCCATGATCCAATTTTTGGTTATAGAGTTCAGCTGAGCAATAAAGGCAACACTAAGAACACCATCAATATATAGATTACGGATTGTCATGTATGTGTTCATGTATAAATGTGTGTGTCTACATATATATATATAATTACCACAACACCTGAAAGAGGGAGATGGATTCTTCCATTTCATAGATGAAAATCTGAGCCCCTGTGTACTTTGAGGCTTGGTCTGGGTTCACTGAATATTAGCCTTGAGAACTGGGAGACACTAAGCCTCCTGCAGAGCCCATCTAGGCATGAGCCACACCAGTGGAGACTCCTCAACAGCAGGAAGAGCAACTGAGATCCAGGAATGTCCACACTTGTAGAGGGTCCACGTCCAGTGGAATACAACTGAAGGATGGGCGAAGGGTACAGTCTAGCTGCTTCCTTCAGCTGGGGGTGGCAGATGGGTGGGTCAGTCAGCTACCCATGAGGTGTATCATGTTCCTAGGGCTGTCTTTCATTCCTCTGCTGAGAACTCCATCCTGCACAGACAAAAACCATATATTCACTGGTGAGCAGGATCCTTTTTAGAAATGCAAACATAACTTCCCTAACATTAAAGCCAAACATTCTTTCTCCCAGTGAACCATCTTATTTGGATAATCTCCTAACTTCCCCTGAAGTTAGCCCCAGAGTTGCATCTGAGCATTTGGAAGCAAGACAGAAAGTCATTTTGGGGTTTGGACCTGGCTGATCTTGGACCGTATTCTGAAAGTGTGGGCGGCAAGCCACCCAGGTGCCGAGGCAAGAGACTGAGGACACGAGCTGTTCCAGTATAATAAAATATAAAACAAGAATAGTTGTACCAGATATAGATCTTAGATATGATTATATATGAATATCATTAATCATTAGTTGGTAGCAATTACTCTTTATTCCAATATTATAATAATCCTCACTCTATAATCATAACCTAAGAAAAACCAGGCCATACAGCGATAGGAGATGAGGGGACATAGTGAGTTGTGACCAGAAGACAAGAGTGCGAGCCTTCTGTTATGCCCGGACAGGGCCACCAGAGGGCTCCTTGGTCTAGCGGTGATGCCAGTGTCTGGGAAGACGCCCATTGCCAGGCAGACCATGGTCTAGTGGTAGTGAAAAGTGTCAAGGAAAAACACCCACTACTTAGCACACTTAGAGTTTAGAGAAGACTCTGCTCCTCCACCTCTTGTGGAGGGCCTGACATCAGTCAGGCTTGCCCGCAGCTATCCGGAGGCCTAACCGTCTCCCTGTGATGCTGTGCTTCAGTGGTCACGCTCCTAGTCTGCCTTCATGTTCCATCCTGTACACCTGGCTCTGCCTTCTAGTTAGCAGTAGTCAATTAGTGAAAGTACTAAAAGTCTCTGATATGCAGACATAATGGCGTAAGCCGTCTTTCTCTTTGTCTCCTCTCTCTCTCTGCCTTGGCTGCCAGGCAGGGAAGGGCCCCCTGTCCAGTGGACACATGACCCATGTGACCTTACCTATCATTGGAGATGACTCACACTCTTTACCCTGCCCCTTTTGCTTTGTATCCAATAAATAACAGAGCAGCCAGACATTCAGGGCCACTATTGGTCTCCGTGCGTTTGTGGTAGTGGTCCCCTGGCCCAGCTGTCTTTTCTTTTATCTCTTTGTCTTGTGTCTTTATTTCTACACTCTCTCATCGCACACAGGGAGAGACCCACCGACCCTGTGGGGCTGGTCCCTGCATGAAAGGAGGCTTTCTACTTGCAGAAGAGCAAGGGTGAGCTCTGAATAAGAGATGAAATCCTGAGGGGAAAAGACAGATGGGCAGATTTCCAAGCAAACTTGGAATATATTTGCCAGCCTCTTTTTAGTTGTGATAAAATGCACGTAAACACAAAATTTGCCATTGTGACCATTTAAGTGTACAAAGCAGTAACATTTAGTAGGTGCACAACGTTATGCAGCCATCATCACTATCAAGTTCCAGAGCATTTTCACCACCCTAGAAGGAAACTCTGTACCCGTTAAGCAGTCACCTTCCACTCTCCCCTGCCACCAGCCCCTGGCACCATTAACCCAGTTTCTGTCTCTCTAGATTTTCTTCTTCTGAATATTTTATTAAAATGGAGTCATACAATCTATGGCCTTTTGTGACTGGCTTCTTTCATTTGACATGTTTTCAAGGTTCATCCAAGTTGTAGCATGTATCAGTACATTATTCCTTTTGTGGTCAAATAATATTCCATTGCAGAATAGATTACATGTTGTTTATCCATTCATCGGTTGATGGGCATTTTCTTTTAAATTAAATAGAGAAAACAAAAGAGGAGTTACAAATTACCACCCCCCAAAAAATACTTGCTTTTCTATTTACCTATGAAATTACTTTTAGCTGTGTACTTCTTTGCTTCATATGACTTCAAGTTGCCATCTAATGTCCTTTTATTTCAGTGTGAAGCACTCCTTTTAGCATTAATTGTAGAATAGGTTTACCAGAGACGAATGCCATCAGCTTTTATTTACCTGTGCATGTCTGAATTTCTCCATTATTTCTCATGGAGAGTTTTGCCAAATATGCAACTGTCAGTTGAGACAGGTTTTTTTTTTCTTTCTGAACTTTAAGTTTGTCATGCCAATGTCTTCTGAACTCCATGGTTTCTGAAGAACACTTGGCAGTTAATCTCATGGAGGATCCTTGCACTCAATGAGTCCCTTCTCTTGTTGTTTTCAAGATGCTCTGTTTGTCTTTGACTTTCGACAGTTTCAATATAATGTCTGTCAGTGTGGACATCTTTGAATTACTGCTACTTTAAATGTTTGAGTGTTTTGGATACCCAGATTCATGTTTTCAAAAAAATTTCGGAAGTTTGGGGTCATTATTTCTTCAAATACTCTTTCTCCCCCCTTCTTCCTTCTCTCTTTTGGGAACTCCCAAAATGCATATACTTGATGTTGTCTCTTAGATCTCTTTTGTTCTTTTTTCTTCATACTTTTTCCCTTCTGCTCCTCAAATGGGCAATTTCAATTGGCCTATGTTTGCGTTTACTGATTCTTCATTCTGCAAACTAAAATCTGCCCTTGAAGCCCTCCAGTCAATTTTCCATTTTGCTTCCCGTACATTTCAGCTCCAGATTTCCATTTGCTTCCTTTTCACAATTATTTATTGATTTCTGCTATTTAGTGAAACATAGTCCTCCTGATTTTCTTTAGTTATTTGTCCATGGTTTCCTTTAGCTCTTTGACTATGTTTAAGACAGTTGATTCAAAGTCTTTGTCTAGTAAGTCAGTCCATTGTTCTTCAGGAACAATTTCTTTCTATTGCTTTTCCTGTGAATGAGTCATACTCTCATACATGCATAACTCATGTTTTTTGAAGTTGAAAACTAGACATTTTCAATATTATAATGTGGTAACTGTGAAAATTACATTTTCTAAACTATTTTTGTATAGACTGTATTCTTTATTGTATGTGGTCACTGAAGTCTCATAGTTGTAGATGTGTGGTCTTATTTCTGAGTTCTCTATTCTATTCCATTGGTCTATGTGTCTGTTTTTGTATCAGTACCATGCTGTTTTGGTTACTGTAGCCTTGTAGTATAGTTTGAAGTCAAGTAGCATGATGCCTCCAGCTTTGTTCTTTTTGCTTAGGATTGCTTTGGCTATACAAGTTCTTTTTGGTTCTATATGAATTTTATTTTTATTTTAATTTTTTTCAATTTAAATAATCAGTAATGTATAACATTATTCATTAAATATAAAATAATTTGAAAACAATCTTTCTTTTGAAAATTTAAGATTGACAAAAAAATCAACTAAAAAGAATAGTGGCTGAAATTGAATAAAATAGCAAGAACTTCAATGCTATATTTGTTAAAACATTTTGAAACAATGCTCTCCATAGACACATTCATCCACTGTTTGCTGGAACATAAATTCCTCATTTAATATTACTGAGCCAATTTAGAATGACATCATTAAATGTAGTTTTTTAAATGTTTTAGTTAGTACTAAAAAAAGACAATTCTCTGAATCTGAAATATTTCTTTTTTCAACCCCTACCTTATTATGTAGTAGCTTTTTAAAATTTTAGGCTGACTTGAATAGCATGGTAAATTATCTTAAAACTGGGGAAAACTTTTTCATGTTCAGATTTAAAAAAAAAAAACCTATAATCACTGACATGTCCAATTTCTGATTTTTCAAATAAGATAGATTTCTTATCTGCAACAATAAACATTTTAAGTAAAGCTATTTTTAGGATTAAATACATTTATTTTTAAATGAAGCCTGATTTTCTATAATCCATATTAATGATTCTCAAACTCTTTCTATAGAAGCACCCTTAAAAACAGCAGAGTAAAACATTTTTCTTGAGGACATGAGCTTAATCTCATTAGCTCAAGACAAGCTCCAAATGGCTTGAAAATTTTGAGTTTTATTTTATATATTAATTTTAATTTTACCTTTAATGTCAATCATCTATATGAATTTTAAAATAGTTTCTTCTAATTCTGTGAGAAATGTCAATGGTAGTTGAATGAGAATAGCATTGAATCTATAAATTACTTTGGGCAGTATGACCATTTTCACAATATTGATTCTTTCTATCCCTGAGCATGGAGTGTTTTTCCATTTGTCTGTGTCCTCTCTGAGTTACTTAAGAAGCGGTTTGTAGTTCTCCTTGAAGAGATCCTTCAATTCCCTTGTGAGCTGTATTCCTAGGCATCTTATTCTGTTTGTAGCAATTGTGAATAGAAGTTTATTCACGATTTGACTCTCTGCTTGTCTATTGTTGGTGTATAGGAATGCTTGTGGCTTCTGCACACTGATTTTGTATCCTGAGACTTAACTGAAGTTGCTTTTCAGCTTAAGAAGCTTTTCAGCCGAAACAATGGGGTTTTCTAGATATAGGATCATGTCACTTGCAAACAAAGACAATTTGACTTCCTCTCTTCCTATTTGAATATCCTTTCTTTCTCTTACCTGATTGTCCTGGCCAGAACTTCCAATACTGTGTTGAACAGGAATGGTGAGAGAGGGCATCCTTGCCTTGTGCTGGTGTTAAAGGGAAATGCTTCCAGCTTTTGCGCATTCAGTATGATACTGGTTGTGGGTTTGTCATAGATGACTTTTATTATTTTGAGGTATGTTCCTTCAATACCTAGTTTATTGAGAGTTTAAAAATATGGAATGCTTCATGAATTTGCATGTCACCCTTGTGCAGGGGCCGTGCTGATCTTCTCTGTATCATTCCTATTTTAATATATGTGCTGCCAAAGCGAGTACTGATCACAAGTTCTTAGAAGTGGAGATAACTGAAGAAACGTGGGTGAGATGGAGTGTTGAGTTTCATCTGCAGTAATTTCTGCATCTAATAAAACATCATTATCTCTGTCTTTTATTCTTTAATTAAGTGCTAAAATGCATTACAGATTTAAAGTTTAAATATTCTTGTATTCTGGGGATGAATAACCTGGGCAGGATATTTAATTTATTTATAGTTCACTGGTGGACACAATCTAGTACTATTTTTCTCAGTATTCTTACCTCTAATTGCTTAGAAGTGATTATCTTATCATGCTTTTCTCTTATGTATTCCCTAGCTGGCTTTAGAATCAATGTTATTTATACATAAACAATAATGAGTTTACTGGCTTTCTCTATGTTTCCTCATTCTCTTGAATATTACGTATAAGTTCAGTAACCTTCTTCAAAGTTTTGGTAGAACTTATGTGTAAAACAGTCTGGATATGCCTGAATGGAAATAAAGTTTTACAACTGTTTTAACTTCTTTACTTGTAGTAAGTTCTCCCCATTGCCATAATCTTGTTCATAGTCTCAAAATTATTTAAACCTCTACTATATCTTTAGTGGCATATTTATCTATCATAATGTTATTTTATTCTTAATTACCATTGCCTGTTTTATTTCTCCGTCAAAAAAACAGCTGCTTTTGGTGGGCTGGGCCCTCAGCAGTGGCAGCTGCCGGGTCAGCCTTGGTGAGTGGCGACGCAATTGCTGTGCCCATGCAGTGTCCATCGCAGCCACCATGGCCACTTTGTGCAGGGACTCCATGAGCAAGGCCTGTGTGGCTGAGTGGCATCGTCCATCAAGCCATCTCACCCACCTGGTTACAGGGAGCCCCATCCCCTTAAAGACCCTCTGGTAGGCATCCACACACAACCACTATCGTCACACACTCGGCCTATAGCAAGAGGTCTATGCGTACCTCTCTCCTCTACCTCCCAGTTTTCCAACTCTATTTTCCTCAAGTTTGTGACTGGCCAGCCAAGCCATGAGCCACTGCCCATGACTCGTTCATTCATGCGCTATTGGACATCATTTCACACCCCCCACCTCCTATGGGTTTGTTTGGGTTTGATCCCCAGTTCCTGGCTCGAGAGCCATTTCCAAAGCTGTTCTGGTGTCAGCTCCCAAACCTACTGCTCTTGTTGTAGATTTTCCTCTTTATATGTATTTGTTTCCTGGAATTAAAAACAATTGCACTAATTTTTTCAATCCAGCATTTCCAAGGATGTGCAGTAGGAGCGATTTTTCTTAGCGTAGATAAAATTGCTTCAAAACATCAGCAAAGTATATTTGAGTGAAGGACAGCATGCGTGGAGAAAGAAGGACAATCCACAAGTGGGCAGTGGAGTTTCACATAGTGAACACTCAGGTAAACAACACCCACATCAAAGTACACCAATCACAGCCTCCCAGAAACATCACTGGATCTTACTCAGTCACAAACCACCCTCCCCAACCCTAGAGTAGCCACTCCTGATTTCTAACACAGATAAGTTCTGCCAGTTCCAGTTGAATGGCATTATACAGTCACCATCATGCCCCTGGGTCTCATCATCCTGCTGTGTGTGGTCATAGCCTATTCACTCCCATGGCTGTCCAATGCTCCACTTTATAAATAGCTCACATTTCTTGTCCCTTCGCTGTTGATAGACAATTGTGTTATATCCAGATTTTACAAATCGTGATGCTATGAATAATATTTTCATATATTTTGGCACACACATACATGCATTTCTATTGGTTGATAACTAAGACTGCTATTGCTGGGTCATAGGTGAGTAGATGCTTGGCTTAGTCTCTCAAAAAGCAAGTTTCTAGTAGTAAACAAACAGTACAGGAGGGTGAATCTCTTACTTAGAAATTATTCAGATAATAAATGAGGAAGGAACGAGAGACTGAGACTATAATAACTCTTTTGCAACCCATCAAGAATTAACAGATTTAACCATTGAACAGCAATGGCGATTAACAACACAATAAAAAAACTAATGTGAGGTTCTTCCTCTTGATGGAAGAACACAATACAGCACCATCAAACAAATACAAGTGAGAAAGAAATCAAGCCTGAATAGAAGCTAACCTCCATAGCCAATTACCAATTTAGAGGCAATACAGATAATAAAAACACATATTCAAACAATGGCTTGGGGAGCAATCAGCAAAATGCACACTATGGGAAGCTCTACCACACAATATAAATTTCAAGAAAGAATCTATAGAATAAAAGAGAACAAAAGCATATTTCTAAAGGTAAAACTAAATCACAGTTTTGGATGATAAAAATATAAAATAGAACAAAGAAGTTGTGATCGTAAAAGTCAGGATGTATTTTTATTTGGGGGAGGAAAGAGTTTATTGCTGAGCTGGGGCAAATGATGGGACTTCTGGTTTGCTCCGCAAACGTCTATCCTTGGTGGTTAATGGGTGTTTACTTTTTATTAAAGGACACAAATTTTAGACCTTCTTTTTTTCCTTTTGGAGTCCTAGATTTTATTTTATGACACAAAGGCTAATGAAAAAATAATTTATAGAGTATGGTTACTGTTTTGCACGAAGCCCCCTCCCCATCTTCCCTCTGAGCACCCAGGACAACCAGCAGCCCCAGGACCCCCAGAAGGGGTGACCTCACTTCTAGGTGTGCATGCAGCTCACACCACCAGAGGCAATATGCAGGTCTACTCCTGGACTCCTGGAAGAACCTGATAGGACACAGCTGAAGGGAAGCCTTCCCCGCCATCTGCAGGCTCTTGGCCATCAGTGTAGAGGGAGCGGGTCCTCACCTCTCCACAGGCGCCTTCACGGCCAGAGCCTCCTCTCTGCATGGGGAGTAAGGCCTGGCCCTTCCCCTGAACACGGTGACATGGATCTCGCCAAAGGTGGAGATAACACCATTCCTCCCCCACCAACCTCACGCTTCTTTTGCTTTACAGGAAGATTGACGCGGGCTGGTGTCCAGTGAAGAAATGCGTGGTGCGTAGGAAGGAGAGGTGGATCTCAGGGCTGTGCGTGATCTGCAAAGGAAGCGCATCGACCACCAGGTGGCGCTGCTGCGCTGCTTCTGCTCCCAGGAGGTGGATGCCCAGGACGAGCTTTGAGGTGGAGAGAGGGATGTCATGGCTCATCCTCCAGTTTCCAAGTAAAAACCTTCCGGCCAATGTTGGCCGCGCGTCCTGGTGTAGCGAGCGGGCTTGGAGGAGCTCACCGCTGCTGTCATGGTTCGTTTGCTAAACTGCATCGTCGCTGTGTCTCAGAACATGGGCATCGGCAAGAACGGGGACCTGCCCTGGCCGCCGCTCAGGAATGAATTTAGGTATTTCCAGAGAATGACACAATCTCTTCAGTAGAAGGTAAACAGAATCTGGTGATTTTGTGTAGGAAGACCTGGTTCTCCATTCCTGGGAAGAATCGACCTTCAAAGGATAGAATTAATTTAGTTCTCAGCAGAGAACTCAAGGAACCTCCACAACGAGCTCATTTTCTTGCCAGAAGTCTGGATGAGATCTTAAAACTTACTTAACAACCAGAATTAGCAAATAGAGTAGACATGATTTGGATAGTTGGTGGCAGTTCTGTTTATAAGGAAGCCATGAGTCGCCCAGGCCATCTTAAACTATTTGTGACAAGGATCATGCAGGACTTTGAAAGTGACACGTTTTTTCCAGAAATTGATTTGGAGAAATATAAAATTCTGCCAGAATATCCAGGCGTTCTCTTGGATGTATTAAGTACAAATTTCAAGTATATGAGAAGAATGATTAATATGAAGGTGTTTTCTGGTTTATTTTAAGTTGTTCCCCCTCCCTCTGAAAAAAAAGTTTATATTTTTACATTAGAAAAAAAGACTTTTGTTGACTTTAGATCTTTGGATAATTATTTCTAAGCAACATGTTTTTACTCCCCACTAATCTTGACTATATCAGATACCACTTATGAAATATTCTTGCTATAATTAAGTGCCTCTCCAAGACCCTGACCGAGTCCCCAGCACCTGCTACAGTGAGCTGCCATTCCACACCCATCGCATATGGGACTCTTGCCAGTCCTTGACATTGTCGGGCTTTTCAAATGTTGGTAGTATTTCTTAAAGATGAAGATGCACATACCCTCCAACTGAGAAGTTTCACTAGTGGGAAATACCGAAAGCTCCTTACGTGTATACCCAGAGGTTTGCATGCAAATGTTGCAGCCTTGTTTGTAACAGTGAAAAATTGAAAACAACCTGGAAGTCCAGTGATGGGAAAATGAATATATTTCTGTCTTTTGGGGAACCCAAAGCAGGTTCCAAGACTGCAATTTCAGTGAAAGCAGTTTATTTTCTAGGTCTTACCAGAAATCATCAATTGAGGTACGGAGAAATGGAACTGAGAAGGTAAGAAAACCAGTTTAAAGCCAGTGAGCAGGTTCTCACTGGTAACAAACTCCATACTGCTGAGATACAGGGAAACGGAGGGGAGAAAGCTGGCATATTGATCCCCCACTCCTTGGTTGTCAGCTCCCTGTCCTGTGTGTGGGCAGAATGTACTCCAGCTGCTCTATAGCAAGTCCCAGGTGTTTGCAGTAAGAAGCTGCTGGCATGCATGTGAACGGTGAATGGCAAACACTTAAAGCAATTTCATGTTTAAGTATATAAGCTCTTCATATCTTTTTTTTTTTTTTTTGACAGAGTTTCGCTCTTGTTACCCTGACGGAGTGCAATGGCGCAACTTCAGCTCACTGCAACCTCTGACTTCCCAGGTTCAAATGATTCTCCTGCCTCAGGCTCCCATGTAGCTGGGACTACAGGCACGTGCCACGACGCCCGGCTAATTTTGTGTTTTTGGTGAAGACAGGGTTTCACAATGTTGGTCAGGCTGGTCTCGAACTCCTGACCTAAAGTGATCCGCCCGCCTCGGCCTCCCAAAGTGCTGGGATTACAGGCTTGAGCCACCCCAGATCTTTATTCTTTTTATGTAGTAAAAAGTATAAAGCCACGCATAGTTTATTTGAAATATTTTATGTTTTAAAAAAATACAGAAGCAGGAAAACCAATTCTAAGTTCAAGTGAGGGATGATGGTAGTTTGAACCAAAGGGTTGCATGTAGTAAGAAACTGTGATTTAAGATATATTTTAAAGTCAGAAGTAGCAGGATATTCTGATGGAGTTTGCCCTGGGTTTGGGCCCACTGAGTTTGAGATGCCTTTGAGAAATGAAGAAAGTAGAGAGAGAATAAAAGAAAAACTGGCCAGGCACAGTGGCTCATGCCTGTAATACAGTGGCTCAGCATTTTGGGAGGCAGAGACAGGCAGATACCTTGAGATCAGCTTGGGCAACATGGTGAAGCCCCATCTCTACAAAAAATACAAAAGTTAGCTGGGCATTGTGGCACACACCTGTAGTCCCATCTACTCAGGGAGCTGAGATGGAAGGATCAATTGAGCCTGCGAGTTCGAGGCTGCAGTGAGTTGTGATTGTGCCACTGCACTCCAGCCTGGGTGACAGAAGAGACCTTGTCTCGAAAAAGAAGCTGAAAACAATGGAACCATGCCTTCAGAATTCCAGAAAGAAAGTTATTTTCAACGAATAAATCTATATTCAGCCAAATAATCAAGGGTGAAGGTAAAATAATACATTTTTAGGCAAGCAAAGACTCAGGGGTTACCTCCATGTATCTGTTGTTGGGAAACTATTGGAGAAAATACTCCAGCAAAATGAAGGAGTAGACAAACCAGAGAATGACATGGATCCAGCAAATAGGATCCAACACAGGAAATATTCCAGCTATGGAGCTGGCTTTAAAAAGAAACAGTAAAAATATTAATCGGTTAGCTGGGTAGAATGGCCCATGCCTGTAGTTCCAGCCACTCAGGAGGCTAAGCAAGAGGTTGGCTTGAGCCCAAGATTTCCAGACCAGCCTGGCCACCATAGTAAGATTCCCTTCTCTTAAAAATAATAATAGGTTATTGCCAGATTTGGGGCATTTGGAAAGTAGTTCATTGAAGATAAAGCAAAAGTTAAAAAAAAAAAAAACAAGGGGGAAGGGTGGTTAGGCAATCATTAATTCTAGGGCAGAAGGAAGCACAAGACAGGAAGCAAGAGCATAATACTCTGTTTTTCTCAACAATGAGCAATATGTACATACTCATAATGATGTGGTGACTACTTAGCCCCTAAATCTGGTAACTACTTTGGGACAATATGGGGGGAAAAGTGAAGGTAGTGATGGTGTAAGAGCTAAATCCTCATCTGTCATATCAAGAAATTACTATAGAATGTATAAAATAATCAAGAAATGACTAAGTAGTTATGTGAGAAAAAAATAGAAGACATTGCTAAAAGAGTTAAAAGTCATTGCTCTGGAGAATTAGGAGGGATGGGGCAGGGGACTGTTAGGGTGCATTATAAACTGAAGAGGCTTTTTAAAATTACATGTATTAATATATGCACCCACTTGAAAAACTAAAAAAATAATAATTTGGAAAAACCCATGAAGGTAACTACCAGGAGGAAAAACTAAGAGAATGAAAAGTGCTTGCCTCTCGAGAGAACAACTGGCAGGACTGTTGTTTTCATTGTAAGACTTTTGGAGCCATTTGATTTTACTTAACCATTTTCATGTATTCCTTTAATAAAAACAACTCTATCATAATAAAAAGTCACACTTGTTCATAGAAAACAAACAAACAAACAAACAAAAAAACCTTCCTGCCCAGCCCATCTCATTCTCCCTGAATCCTCAGCGCTAATGAGGACTGTCTCCTTCTCACCTGCCTGGACTGGGCTTTTTAACACTGGAAAGTGGATGTGATTTCTAGTTTCAGCAGGTCCTGGTTTATTGTGCTGCCAGTAAAATAAAATCAAAATACACATTGAATAAATAATAAATAAAATAACCCATGGTGAGCAAAGGTTTACAATGTTTGTTGTTGTTGTTGTTGTTTGAGTCAAGATCCCACTCTGTGGTCTGGGCTGGAGTCCAGTGATGCGATCACAGCTCACTACAGACTTGAATCCATAAGCCCAAGGGATCTTCCCATCTCAGCCTCCCCAATACCTGGGAATACAAGTGCCCACCACCGTGCCCAGCTAAGTTTACTTATTTTTATATCTTTTAGAGACGAGGTTCTCACAATGTTGTTCAAGCTGGTCTCCAACTCCTGATCTCAAGCAATCCTCTTGCCTTAGCGTCCTGAATTGCTGGGATTACAGGAGTGAGCTGTCATGCCCAGCTTGTAATGTACTGACACCTTCAAGATTTCCTTCTCCAAGTGTGGACACAGCAGCAGACGCCCCTTGTCTCTTGGGTCAGGACACTGGGTAGAGTGGAAGAGCAAGACAACAAAGTCACTGCAGAAAGCATCCATGTGGAAGAGGTCCAGCAGGGAGGGCCAGCTGTCCCAGGGACACCATATTTAGGGATAACTCCTCTTTCTGGGCAGGACTGTTCTTTGATTACTTTTATATTCACGATAGTTCTGAAATCGTAGGATGATGAGACTCAAGACTGGCTAGGATTTGTTTTCAAAAAACCATCTCTGAGACTTGTCGATCTTTTGAATGGTTTTTAGTGTCCCAATTTCCTTCAGAACTTAACTCATTCTTAACATTTCACAGACTACTTTCAGTTAATAATGTACTAGTGCCCATAAATATAGCAATATTGCAACCATTTATCCTCTATAAAATGTCCATCTTTTATGGTATAGATATTATATGTAATATATCTATATAGGTTGTAAGTCCCAAGATAAAAAACTTTTTCTTATCTTTAAACAGTTCTATGTATATAAAGTAAGAATAAATGAGGGGAGCAAGATAGCCTTTTGCACTTAGCTCAATATTTACCATTTTTGATCATCTTCATCTTTTTTGATAATCTCATTTTCCACCTGGTATCATTTGCCTCTAGTCTGAAGAATTTTCTTTACCAATTGTAATTGTACAGATCTGCTGGTGACAAATTCTTTTAATTTTCTTTTACCTGAAATATCTCATTTGCCTATCCTTGAAGGACATCTATGCTGGATATAGAATTCTTAGTTGATCTTTTTGTCTTCCAGCACTTTAAAGATGTTATTCTACTTTCTTTTGTTTCTATGGTTTCTAATAAAAAGTCATTGATCAGGACAAGAGGAACAGAGAAACAAAAACCGGGAAAATAACATGGTAGACATGAAACTTATCATATCAATAATGACAAAAACCTATATGAATCAACACTCCAATGAAGGGCAGAGATTGTGTGACTTGGTTTAAAAAAACACGGAACCCAACCATACGCTCTTTCCAGACATGCACTTTCTTTGTTTTTTTTTTTAATTTAACTTTTATTTTTAGTTAAGGGGTACATGTGCAGGTTTGTTATATAGGTAAACTTGTGTCATGGGGTTTTGTTTCACAAATTATTTCTATACCCATTAGTACCCACCCAAGTATTAAGTCTTAGTTCCCATTAGCTATTTTTCCTGATCCTCTCCCTCCTCCCACCCTCCACCCTCAAGTGGACCCCAGTGTGTGTTGTTCCCCTCTGCATGTCCATGTATTCTCATCATTTAGCTCCCACTTATAAGTGAGAACATGTGGTATATAGTTTTCTGTTCCTGTGTTAGTTTGCTAAGAATAATGGCCTCCAGCTCCATCCATGTTCCTGCAAAGGACGTAATCTCATTCTTTTTTATGGCTGTATAGTATTCTATGGTGTATATGTGCCACATTTTCTTTATCCAGTCTACCATTGATGGGCATTTAGGTTGATTCCAAGTCTTTGCTATTGTGAATAGTGCTTCAATGAACATATGTGTACATGTAAGTCATGCACTTTCTTTTTTTATTTAATTTATTTTATTTTGCTTTAAGTTCCAGATACATGTGCAGAACGTGCAGGTTTGTTACATACGTATAGTCTGCCATAGTGGTTTGCTGCACCTATTCACCCATCCTCTAAGTTCCCTCCTCTTACCCCCGACTCCCCAAAAGGCCCTGGTGTGTGTTGTTCCCCTCCCTGTGTCCATGTGTTCTCATTGTTCACCTCCCACTTAAGAGTGAGGACACCTGGTGTTAGGTTTTCTGTTCCCATGTTACTTTGCTGACGATGACTTCCAGCTTCATCCAAGTCCCTGCAAAGGACATGAACTCATTCCTTTTTATGGCTGTGTAGTATTCCATGGCGTATATCTACCACATTTTCTTTACCCAGACTATCATTGATGGGCATGTGGGTTGGTTCCATGTCTTTGCTATTGAAAATAGTGCTGCAATAAACATACCTGTGCATGTGTCTTTATAGTAGAATGATTGATATTCCTTTGGGTATATACCCAGTAAAGGGATTGCTGGGTCAAATAGTATTTCTGGTTCTACATCTTTGAGGAATGGTCACACCATCCTCCGTAATGGTTGAACTATTTTACATTCCCACCAACAGTGAAAAAGCATTCCTATTTCTCCACAGCCTCACCAGCATCTATTGTTTCCTCACTTTTTAATAATCGCCATTCTGGCTCGCAGGAGATAGTACATCATTGTGGTTTTGATTTGCTTTTCTCTAATGATCATTGATATTGAGCTTTTTTTTCATATGTTTTTTCTTCTGAGAAGTGTCTGTTCATACCCTTTGCCAATTTTTGATAGGGCTGTTTTTTTTCTTGTAAATTTGTTTAAGCTCCTTGTAAACATACATGTGAGCTCTCATCATTCTTGTTTAAACACCTAAGAGGCATCCAAATCAGTGCAACATGGCAAGAAAATGAAATAAGAAACCAATAGAAGGACCAGGCATGGTGGCTAATGCCTGTAATCCCTGCATTTTGGGAGGCTGAGGTGGAAGGATCACTTGAGTTCAGGAGTTTGAGACCAGCCTGATAGTGAGACCTCATCTCTACCAAATAAAAATAATTTTAAAAGAAAAAAGATCAATAGATAGGAAAGGAAGAAACAAAAGTCTTTGTCACCAACTTCATTGCATATGTAGAAAACACTAGGGAATTCTGAAAAAGTCTCTGGAATTAATCATTGAATTTGCAAAATAGTTCATAAAATATATGTAATAAGTCACTTAGATGAACATGAAAAGACAGCAAACAATACTAGTCATCAAAGAAGTGCAAGTTAAAACCACAATGAGAAACCATCACACATCACCTAGAATAGATAAAGTTAAAAAGACATTGGATAAGTCTAAATATTGTCAAGAATATGGAAAAAATAGGAATGTCTGATATTGCTGGTAGGAATGCAAAAAATGTGGCAGCCAATTTGTAAAGTGGTATGGCAGTTTCTTATACAGTTACCCATCTATTACCACATGGCCCAGCAATTCCACAAATATGTATTTATCCAAAAGAAATAAAAATGTAAGGCCACACTTGTAAGCAGTTATTTATAGTGGCTTCATTAATAACAAGCCCTAACTGGAGGAATCCACATGTCTATCAACTGGAGGCAGAGAAACCAATGAATAAGCTGGGATTCCCGCAATACTCAGCAGCTGCTCAGCAACAAAAATGAGTGAATGGCATCATCTCAAACATCGTTATGCTAAAGGAGAGACCAAACGAAGGACTACATAACATAAGACTGCACGTCCATTACATTCTAGAAATTTCAGTATTGCAGTGACAGAAAACAGAGTGGTGGTTGAGTGAAGGGAAGGGGTGAGGGTGGGAGGCAAGGATTAAATAGAAAGGGGCAGAAAGAAAGTTTTTAGGGAAAAGAAACGGTTCTCTACAGCGCCACAACTCAGGAGTGACTGGGTGGTGGGAACTAAGGGGAGAGGAGGGTGTGAGGGAAGAGGACAGAGAGAAGGGCTGGGGAAGCAGGAGGTGAGGACAAGGAGCAGGAGAAGGGACTCTAAAGCAGTGGAGGAGCCTAGCAGGGGATTCTTTGCATTCTGGGTTTCTCTACTGGGCAGTGTGGTAGTTACATGACTATAAATAATTACCAATATTTGCCAAAAAAGCGCAGCTAAAACTGGTGAATTTTATTACATATAAATGCCCTAATAAGCAAAAATAAATAAATAAATAAAAGGGGGGGAGGGGAGGCAAAAATAAAGACATTTTTAGATAATCAAAGCCATAAAATTAATTTCCTAGGGGTCCTGTACTACATTTAATTTAAAAGGAAGTGCTTCAGGGTGAAGGAAAATGATACTAGATGGTGACCCAGATATACAGAAAGGAACAATTAACAACAGAAATGATGCACATACACATGTCACATTCACACTCATTTTCTTAATTTCCTGAAGACATATGGCTACTTGTTTAAAACAAAAAGTATTACACTGTATCATTGAGCTTATAATATAGGTTGATGTAATATATACAACAATAATAGCACAATGGTAGGTTACAAGAAACTACACTGTTAGAAGTGTCCTTTATTTTCTGGATGCAGCTTAATATAACCTGAACTTCACTGTGAAAAGTCAAGGAATCGGGTTTCCATTCTTTGCTATTGTGTAAAGAAATATAGCCAAAAGCCACTAGGAGAATTAAAACCATAAACTAAAAAATGTTTATTTGACACATAAGAAAGTAGTAAAGGAGGAACAGAAACAAAAAGATATGAGACAAATTGAAAACATCTAGCAAAATGGTAGACCAAAACCCAACCATTGCAAGTGAAGAAATGACATGACCTGAGTCACATTAGCAGGACTGCTGAGCACTGTGGGGAGAACAGACATGGGCAGGAGGTGAGGGACAGTGTTAGTGCCACAATTCAGGAGTGAAAGGGTGGCGGGGACTAAGGGGAGCGGGGGTGTGAGGGATGAGAGGGGCAGAGAGAAGGGCTGGAGAGGCAGGAGGTGAGGAAAAGGAGCAGGGGAAAGAATTTTAAAGCAGTGGAAGAGTCTGGCAGAGGGTTCTTTGCATTCGGTATTTAATACATTTTGTTAGACTTCCTAAAAACTAATTGGCTCCTTATGATTAAAAAAAAAAGAGTTACAAAAATACCCAGTGTCCAGATAAAATATGCATACTGCTTAGATGTGCGGAGTTCAGGAAAACAGGCAGTGCTTGAGCGTCGGTGAAGAGCATTGGGACTGCATGGAGCACTCCCAACTTTGAGGTGATGACTACAGGTTCCCGGTTGCAATAGACAGTAACAAACCCCGCTTCTTTATATTCAGGAGATGTTCTGGACTCATATAGGGAAACTCGGGGTGGGGAATGAAGATAATTTTAAATGCAACAACCCAGAGTCACAGATCCATAGTCTGGGAAAGTAAAACTTAGGAGCTTTGAGAGTTTAATTGTAATGCTGTTTTGACACAGGTCTTTTGCAGATTGGAATTCTAATCATTCAGGGATTACCAATATTGTGCTACCTACTGTATTAATAAACAAAAAGGAAACTGGTCTCTATGAGAATCTCTGTGTGGTGGCTTCAGACAAAACTTCGCCAGGTTTAGAGAGAAAACCCCTGTCTCTACACCTCCATTCCCAGGGCGAGCTCACTCTCTGGCATCAAGTTCCCCGTGATCAGTTTCCCTACACAAGATCCAAGAGGAGAGGTAAGGAGTGAGAGGCAGGGAGTCCAGTTCAGGGACAGGGATTCCAGGAGGAGAAGTGAAGGGGAAGGGGCTGGGCGCAGCCTGGGGGTCTCTCCCTGGTTTCCACAGACAGATCCTTGTCCAGGACTCAGGCAGACAGTGTGACAAAGAGGCTGGTGTAGGAGAAGAGGGATCAGGACGAAGTCCCAGGTCCCGGACGGGGCTCTCAGGGTCTCAGGCTCCGAGGGCCGCGTCTGCAATGGGGAGGCGCAGCGTTGGGGATTCCCCACTCCCACGAGTTTCACTTCTTCTCCCAACCTATGTCGGGTCCTTCTTCCAGGATACTCGTGACGCGTCCCCATTTCCCACTCCCATTGGGTGTCGGGTGTCTAGAGAAGCCAATCAGTGTCGCCGGGGTCCCAGTTCTAAAGTCCCCACGCACCCACCCGGACTCAGAATCTCCTCAGACGCCGAGATGCGGGTCACGGCGCCCCGAACCCTCCTCCTGCTGCTCTGGGGGGCAGTGGCCCTGACCGAGACCTGGGCCGGTGAGTGCGGGGTCGGGAGGGAAATGGCCTCTGTGGGGAGGAGAGAGGGGACCGCAGGCGGGGGCGCAGGACCCGGGGAGCCGCGCCGGGAGGAGGGTCGGGCGGGTCTCAGCCCCTCCTCGCCCCCAGGCTCCCACTCCATGAGGTATTTCTACACCGCCATGTCCCGGCCCGGCCGCGGGGAGCCCCGCTTCATCACCGTGGGCTACGTGGACGACACGCTGTTCGTGAGGTTCGACAGCGACGCCACGAGTCCGAGGAAGGAGCCGCGGGCGCCATGGATAGAGCAGGAGGGGCCGGAGTATTGGGACCGGGAGACACAGATCTCCAAGACCAACACACAGACTTACCGAGAGAACCTGCGCACCGCGCTCCGCTACTACAACCAGAGCGAGGCCGGTGAGTGACCCCGGCCCGGGGCGCAGGTCACGACTCCCCATCCCCCACGTACGGCCCGGGTCGCCCCGAGTCTCCGGGTCCGAGATCCGCCCCCGAGGCCGCGGGACCCGCCCAGACCCTCGACCGGCGAGAGCCCCAGGCGCGTTTACCCGGTTTCATTTTCAGTTGAGGCCAAAATCCCCGCGGGTTGGTCGGGGCGGGGCGGGGCTCGGGGGACGGGGCTGACCGCGGGGCCGGGGCCAGGGTCTCACATCATCCAGAGGATGTACGGCTGCGACGTGGGGCCGGACGGGCGCCTCCTCCGCGGGTATGACCAGGACGCCTACGACGGCAAGGATTACATCGCCCTGAACGAGGACCTGAGCTCCTGGACCGCGGCGGACACCGCGGCTCAGATCACCCAGCGCAAGTGGGAGGCGGCCCGTGTGGCGGAGCAGCTGAGAGCCTACCTGGAGGGCCTGTGCGTGGAGTCGCTCCGCAGATACCTGGAGAACGGGAAGGAGACGCTGCAGCGCGCGGGTACCAGGGGCAGTGGGGAGCCTTCCCCATCTCCTATAGGTCGCCGGGGATGGCCTCCCACGAGAAGAGGAGGAAAATGGGATCAGCGCTAGAATGTCGCCCTCCCTTGAATGGAGAATGGCATGAGTTTTCCTGAGTTTCCTCTGAGGGCCCCCTCTTCTCTCTAGGACAATTAAGGGATGACGTCTCTGAGGAAATGGAGGGGAAGACAGTCCCTAGAATACTGATCAGGGGTCCCCTTTGACCCCTGCAGCAGCCTTGGGAACCGTGACTTTTCCTCTCAGGCCTTGTTCTCTGCCTCACACTCAGTGTGTTTGGGGCTCTGATTCCAGCACTTCTGAGTCACTTTACCTCCACTCAGATCAGGAGCAGAAGTCCCTGTTCCCCGCTCAGAGACTCGAACTTTCCAATGAATAGGAGATTATCCCAGGTGCCTGCGTCCAGGCTGGTGTCTGGGTTCTGTGCCCCTTCCCCACCCCAGGTGTCCTGTCCATTCTCAGGCTGGTCACATGGGTGGTCCTAGGGTGTCCCATGAGAGATGCAAAGCGCCTGAATTTTCTGACTCTTCCCATCAGACCCCCCAAAGACACATGTGACCCACCACCCCATCTCTGACCATGAGGTCACCCTGAGGTGCTGGGCCCTGGGCTTCTACCCTGCGGAGATCACACTGACCTGGCAGCGGGATGGCGAGGACCAAACTCAGGACACCGAGCTTGTGGAGACCAGACCAGCAGGAGATAGAACCTTCCAGAAGTGGGCAGCTGTGGTGGTGCCTTCTGGAGAAGAGCAGAGATACACATGCCATGTACAGCATGAGGGGCTGCCGAAGCCCCTCACCCTGAGATGGGGTAAGGAGGGGGATGAGGGGTCATATCTCTTCTCAGGGAAAGCAGGAGCCCTTCAGCAGGGTCAGGGCCCCTCATCTTCCCTTCCTTTCCCAGAGCCGTCTTCCCAGTCCACCGTCCCCATCGTGGGCATTGTTGCTGGCCTGGCTGTCCTAGCAGTTGTGGTCATCGGAGCTGTGGTCGCTGCTGTGATGTGTAGGAGGAAGAGCTCAGGTAGGGAAGGGGTGAGGGGTGGGGTCTGGGTTTTCTTGTCCCACTGGGGGTTTCAAGCCCCAGGTAGAAGTGTTCCCTGCCTCATTACTGGGAAGCAGCATCCACACAGGGGCTAACGCAGCCTGGGACCCTGTGTGCCAGCACTTACTCTTTTGTGCAGCACATGTGACAATGAAGGACGGATGTATCACCTTGGTGGTTGTGGTGTTGGGGTCCTGATTCCAGCATTCATGAGTCAGGGGAAGGTCCCTGCTAAGGACAGACCTTAGGAGGGCAGTTGGTCCAGGACCCACACTTGCTTTCCTCGTGTTTCCTGATCCTGCCTTGGGTCTGTAGTCATACTTCTGGAAATTCCTTTTGGGTCCAAGACGAGGAGGTTCCTCTAAGATCTCATGGCCCTGCTTCCTCCCAGTCCCCTCACAGGGCATTTTCTTCCCACAGGTGGAAAAGGAGGGAGCTACTCTCAGGCTGCGTGTAAGTGATGGGGGCGGGAGTGTGGAGGAGCTCACCCACCCCATAATTCCTCCTGTCCCACGTCTCCTGCGGGCTCTGACCAGGTCCTGTTTTTGTTCTACTCCAGGCAGCGACAGTGCCCAGGGCTCTGATGTGTCTCTCACAGCTTGAAAAGGTGAGATTCTTGGGGTCTAGAGTGGGTGGGGTGGCAGGTCTGGGGGTGGGTGGGGCAGTGGGGAAAGGCCTGGGTAATGGAGATTCTTTGATTGGGATGTTTCGCGTGTGTGGTGGGCTGTTTAGAGTGTCATCACTTACCATGACTAACCAGAATTTGTTCATGACTGTTGTTTTCTGTAGCCTGAGACAGCTGTCTTGTGAGGGACTGAGATGCAGGATTTCTTCACGCCTCCCCTTTGTGACTTCAAGAGCCTCTGGCATCTCTTTCTGCAAAGGCACCTGAATGTGTCTGCGTCCCTGTTAGCATAATGTGAGGAGGTGGAGAGACAGCCCACCCCCGTGTCCACCGTGACCCCTGTTCCCATGCTGACTTGTGTTTCCTCCCCAGTCATCTTTCCTGTTCCAGAGAGGTGGGGCTGGATGTCTCCATCTCTGTCTCAACTTTATGTGCACTGAGCTGCAACTTCTTACTTCCCTACTGAAAATAAGAATCTGAATATAAATTTGTTTTCTCAAATATTTGCTATGAGAGGTTGATGGATTAATTAAATAAGTCAATTCCTGGAATTTGAGAGAGCAAATAAAGACCTGAGAACCTTCCAGAATCTGCATGTTCGCTGTGCTGAGTCTGTTGCAGGTGGGGTGTGGAGAAGGCTGTGGGGGGCCGAGTGTGGACGGGGCCTGTGCCCATTTGGTGTTGAGTCCATCATGGGCTTTATGTGGTTAGTCGTCAGCTGGGTCACCTTCACTGCTCCATTGTCCTTGTCCCTTCAGTGGAAACTTGTCCAGCGGGAGCTGTGACCACAGAGGCTCACACATCGCCCAGGGCGGCCCCTGCACACGGGGGTCTCTGTGCATTCTGAGACAAATTTTCAGAGCCATTCACCTCCTGCCCTGCTTCTAGAGCTCCTTTTCTGCTCTGCTCTTCTGCCCTCTCTCCCTGCCCTGGTTCTAGTGATCTTGGTGCTGAATCCAATCCCAACTCATGAATCTGTAAAGCAGAGTCTAATTTAGACTTACATTTGTCTGTGAAATTGGACCCATCATCAAGGACTGTTCTTTCCTGAAGAGAGAACCTGATTGTGTGCTGCAGTGTGCTGGGGCAGGGGGTGCGGGGAGGGGGTTGCTGTAGAAAGAGGGATGGGGAGGGAGGGCACACAAGCAGCACTGCTGAGAAAAACATAGGCGGCCTCTATCTCAGTGTGAGGGGTCCTTGTGCTGCAGCTGCCACAAAACAGCACTTGGCCTGAGGCTATGTTAATAAAGATACTGCCTTCAAAATAGGGAGGTGCTCTACAGTGATCATTCATTCAACTGACCTTTGTCATTGGCCAGACATAGGACAGAATGGTTCTGCATCTGGGGAACACCACTGAAGTAAAATCAGAAAAATCTCTGGCCTTTTGTAGCATATGTTCCAGTGGGAAGAGGCAGACGATAGATACACTATAACCAGAGTAAGGAAGGAAAGTGCTAGAAGGTGGTAAGTGCTGTGAGGCAGGTGATCCAGGATGTGGGCAGTGGGGACAGGGAAGGTGGCTGTTGTGCTGGGTAGTCAGTGTGTGCCTTTTTGCAAAGGTGACTTTTGAGGAAAGATTTGAGGGACATGAGGATATCTGGGGAAGTTCTTTCCAGGCAGAGGAAGCTCCAGTCCAAATGCACTATGGCAGGAAGGTCTGTGTTCCCAGAAGAGCAAGGAGGCCAGGAGGGCTGGACAGAGAGAAACTGAGGTGAGGTCAGAGGTGCGGCCAGAACAGGTGGGCTTGAGGGGAGTGGGGTTGCATCTGACCTTTGCTCTGAGTGGGATGGGGAGTTAGAGGACAGTTTTGAGCAGAAGAGGGCCATGATATAACTTCTGTTTTAAAAGGATCTCTCTGACTGCTGTGCTGAGAACAGAATTGAGAGGTGAGGGATGAGGGAAGCAGAAGGGAAAACAGTAGGAATCAAGTGCAGTATTCCAGGCTGGAGATGTCGGTTACCTTGACTGGGGCGTGAGCAGGGGAAATAGTGGGACGTGAGGGGATTCTGGATGCATTTGAAGATGGACTCACAGCATTTGCCAATGGATTGTATCTGTGGTGTGAGAAAGACGAATCAAGGACACCCATAGTTGTAAGATGAGTGAGTAGAAGGGTGGAGCTGCTGTCAGTGGAGATGGGGAGACTCTGGCAGGAGCGTCCTGAGGAGGGGGCATCACAGGCATTCAGTGGAGGAGATGTCTACCAGGAAGGCAAGTGGGGGAGCTGGGGTGGAATTTGGACAGACAACTCCAGAGTTCAGGGGAAAGGACTGGGCTGGAGAAATAGATTTAGGAAGTCACACCATATATATGAGACTTAAAACCTCAAGCACGGATGAGGCACAAAGGGAGTGACTGACTATGGAAAAGAATGAGCACAAGGACTGAACCCTGGACCTCCAGTTCTAAGGGGTGTGATCAGACCACACCCAGAGCAGACTGCACAGTTCTGGCCCCACGTCTAGAGGACACTCAGACAAGGAACCCCCATGTGCACCAGGATCATCTGGATGTGGTGCTGAGATCCTGGAAGTCTGGAGTCGAGCAAGAGATTCTGGATTTATGACAAGGCTGGAGCTCATGTTGCTGGTCTCCAGATCACACTTGGAGTAGCAAGAGCACCAGGATCCCACACATCTGAGCATCAGCCTCACCTCTAGGGCTTGTCATATAAATGATTCCTTGGTCTTGTGCATAATACTCTGAGACAAGGGTTCTGGGGAGTGGCCTGTGTATTTTCTAAGTCCCCGCCAGCAATCCTATTGCTCAGACAGATTGGGAACCACTGAGATCAGTGATCAGAGAGTGCCCAGGGTGGGTGGGTGGGGTGGGTTTTCAAACTCTGTTTAAAAGAGGATTTTTCTCACAGAAAGAAAAGGGAGGATGTATATCATCAGTTATGAGAGGTGATATTCTCTGTTGTTCTCTCCACCATGGGGTAGAGGCCAGGCAGACAATTCAGGATGTGGCTCTCGCACAAAGAACACCTCTGAATGCCGCTCTCTGACACGCCCACAGACTCATTTCTCACTCACTTCTTGGAGAAAACTATGGAAACCAAGTTTCTGTAATGTACACATAAAGTTGTATATTGGTATTGGGGGCTAGTTTTATTGTGGGGAAGGCCACAGAACCAGGCTGGAAACTACACATCCAAGAACAGAATTCACAGCCCACCCTGGATCAGGTCCCTCCTAGGAACAACTGCCTCTGCTGCTGAGCACAGACACCACTGCTCACACCTCTGACACCCTGGTCCTGGACACTGGACCCTGAGGCTAGGACAGATGTCACTGCTGCATCTGGAAATTGGACATCACTACTGTCACTCAGCCATCTTTACTAAAATGCTTTCTGCACAGTCCTAGCCTCTCTGTCACCTCATTCTGGCTGAGTCTGGCAGTGATATAGGAGTTAAGAAGAAATTATTTAGACAGGTAGTGAGGGTACGCAAGGCTTTTAATGGAAAGCAGGCTCCAAATTATTTTCTTTTCTAACAAGGAGCAGCCTGTAATATCAAGATTCAGACATAGACAAGTAAGCTGGAAGTTTGCACGGGTGAATGCCAGCAGCTGTCCAATAGGAATAGGACACCTGGGACTGGGCATGTTCACTATGGCGGCTCCATCTTCCCTTCTCTTTGCCAGGCACGTTTACAGTAAGGAGCAGACAACGTGTCACCAGCCAAGTGGAAAGCCCATTTGCATAATAGGATGAGGGTGGGGTGAACAGCCTTCCACACACACTATGTAAATATGACACCTGGTCCAACCAACCTGTGGGCCCTACATAAATCAGACACCATCTCCTCAAGCCTGCCTGCAAAATCCGATGCACTCCCATTCCAGGCCGGAATTCCCTTTTGGGTGCCCCTCTCTCTCACAAGAAGGAGCTGTTTCCCTTTGTCTTTCTTTTGCCTATTAAACCCTTTGATCCTAACTCACTCCTCGTGTGTCAGTGTCCTTAATCTTCTTGGCGTGAGATGACGAACACTTAGTATTTACCTGAGACAATGACACCTCTTCAGCAGGTGGTCATCAGACTGGTGGAGCTTAAAACTCATGTCCATGAGCAACTGCAGGGGTGACTGGGGTGTTGTTGTCCTCTTCCAGGGAGGGAGGTGGTGTCTGTCTCCTCTCAACATTTTACATGTTGTAAACCAAAAATAAACATCAAAGCCACCCCTTCCCAATCATTTTAATGGACACCCTTAGCCAGGGTGCTCAAAAGTTAACCTGAAAGACTGGCTCAGGCCACCAAGGGAAGCAGGTATTGAACATGTCTTATTATGCCCTCTTCCCTCTTGGAATTCAGGAAAAGTTGACCAGCATTTACCATCAACACAGACCTTCAGTCTGATCAGAAACATTTACAATCTATTCTCTCTGAAGCCTGGCACCTGGAGGCATCATCTGCATGAGAATTTTGGACTCCACAACCTTTTATCATAACCCAGACATTCCTTTCTATTGATAATAACTCAACCAATTGCCAATCAGAAAAATTAAAAATCTACTTATAACCCAGAAGCACTACCCCGCAACCCTTGCTTGCTTCAAATTGTTCCAACTTTCTGGACTGAACCAATGTATAGCTTAAATGTATTTGATTGATGTCTCATATATTCCTTAAATGTGTAAAACCAACCTGTGCCTCAACCACCTTGAGCACATGTTCTCAGGGTCTCCTGAGGGCTGTGTCATGGGCTGTGGTCACTCATTTTTGGCTCAGAATAAATCTCTTTAAATATGTTACTGAGTTTGACTCTTTTCATTGACAGTGTGGAATTCTGATGTAGTAAGAGGGTTCAAGTGCTGGAGTGTGAGGGGTGGGGAAAAGTGACAAATTTTAATCCTTGGAGCAGTGATCCAGGACGAGAACTTTATCTGGTACCCAGTAGGCACGAAGAGTGGCTGAATGAACCAGTGACTAATAAATAACATAGTTCCACCCATTCCCTTGAGGATAGGTTTACATCAAGTTTTTGTCTATCCCAGTTTATACTCTAGATTATTGGAGTGGCATTCTGTAATGATGAAATGATTATTCAAACATCTTCCCTCAGCATGACTCTTACTAGGATTAAAACTCCCAGGTTTGTAAGATCTCAGAGGTTCTGGGTCCACACGATGTTTTCTATTAATATTTATATTTTCTTGTGTGTGGAAATATTTCTGGGGAGAGAATCTCTAACATTTATTAGTTTTTATGGGACACCCTCAAAGGCCTAAAAAATCCTAACTTCTAGATTAAAGGTAGGACCACTCCACGTCTAGACAATGAACAGCTGGTAGCAACCTGTGTTTAGGGACATGAAACAAATGCTTACATTTGTCTATCTTTTCCTCTGGGACCGAAGAAGGTAGAGGTTTACTTGCTTACTCTTACTATAAGTTTCTCTCTGTGGGATGGTGATGGGGTTTTCTTCCACCCAAATAACTTTCTGATTCTCCAACAGCAGCTGGGAGTCCTAGAGTTTGACTCAATTCTGACACTAACTACCTGGAGTTCGCCTCAGACTCCACAGGTTTACCAGCTCAGTCCTACAAGTCTGTCCTCACTTCAGAAGCAAGTCACAAGTATCACGTCCCAGGTTACCTGCACTTCTGTCTAACATGGCTGCAAAGTCAGGGGTTTCTCACCTCCCAAGGATTGAGAATTCTTAAACTAACTCAAAGAACTCAGGAAGTTGCTATAGCCATGTAAACCAAAAAACGTCTGAGACAGGTCTCAGTCAGTTTAGAAGTTTATTTCGCCAAGCTGAAGATGCACCTTGGAAACAGAGACACAAATCATTGTAGCATCTGTGGCCCATGCTTTTTCCTAACAGGCTTTTGAGGACTTCAATGTGTACAGGGGAAAGAGCAGCCAGGAGAGGAAAAAAATAGTCAACTATGCATTCATCTCATGCTCAGTAAATCTGCATTTTAAATAAGATAAAGTAAACATTGGGTGGAAAAGTCAAATATGCGTTTGACTCTGGGTGGGTGGAGGGATGATTTCTAGTCTTGTCTTTGTCCTGTACCTGTGAAGATAAGCTGTTAATTTACATTGTCAGGGGAAAATTCAACAAAACTGTTTTAGGGTAAACACGTTGGGGCCCACAAGGAATTATCTTGTGAGCAGTTTGTGAGGGAGGCCACCTGGGGAGATATGTGGTCTTCTATCTTTGCAGTTATTTGTTTAGGAACGAAAGAAAGGCAGTTTTTCCATCAGTCTCCAAACTTAATTTTTCCTTTTGGTATAGTGAATTTGGAGTCCTGAAATTTTATTTTCTTTTCACACTCAGTATTGCAGTTTTTTATTGTTATAGCTTAAATCCCCACCTTTTTGGCACCTGGGACTGGTTTCATGGAAGACAGTTTTTCCATGGACCAGTGGAGGTGGTGGAGGGCAGAGGGAAATGGTTTCGGATGAAACTGTTGTACCTCAGATGATCAGGCATTAGCGCTTCATAAGGAGCATGCAACCTAGATCTCTCGCATGCAGAGTTCACAATAGGGTTCGTGCTTCTATGAGAATCTAATTCCGCCACTGATCTGACAGGAGGCGGAACTCTGGTGTTATGCTCATGCTCTCTCACCCACCGATCACCTCCTGCTGTGCAGTCTGGTTCCTACCAGGCCAGGAACCTGTACCAGTCCGCAGCCCGGGGGTTAAGGACCCCTGGTTTAAATTATGCCACTAGAGCAGAACTCCTGAGATTGGATAACTTATAACAAACAGAAATTTGTCTCGTTCATGGTGTCGAGGATGAGAATTCCCAGATCAAGGGACTCTATCTGGTAGAAAACAAAAGGACAAGAGAGGGTGAGAGGTGGGGGGAAAGGAAGTCAAACTCACAGCCTCAGGTCCTTTTATGATGAGCCTTAGTCTATTAATGAAGGCAGAGCTCTGATGGTCCAATCACCTCTCAAAAGTCCCATTTCTTAAAAATGTTGCATTCGGGATGAAATATCCAACAGATGCTTTTTTGGGGAAACATTCAAACCATAGCAGTTATAAAGGATACAAAGGAGCAGCCAGATGAAGAGGTGCACAGGGTGAGGCCTGGAAGGGTTCTGAGCACAGGAGCCTCTGTCCCCATGGAGATGGGGCTCACCATCCTCCCAGCACGTGGACACACGGATGTGCTCAGCAATTGGGAAGCTCTCCGAAACCCAATCCCCAGAGGTTTCTATGGAAATTTCATTGTGGAGGCAAGACTAATTAAATCACTGGTCATTGTGTGACTGAACTCAACCTCGAACCTCTCTTTCCTTCCCAGACTTTAGGGATGGGGTTAACAGTTCCAATCCTCTAATCACAGCTTCGTGTTTCTGGCAACCAGCCCCCATCCTGAAGCTATCTAGGAGCCCCTCACCCCATAGTCATCTCATTGCCATATTGAAGTCATGTTTATCACTGAGGAGATTGCAAATGTTTTAGAACCTGGTTGTCAGGAAACAGGGAAAAGACCAAATATTTTTATTGGACCACAGTTCACACCCTGGTTTTGACCACATTATCTCTTTTTATAATATTTATTATTTTATTTTAGAGATAATCTCTTGCTCTGTTGCCCAGGGTAGAATGCAGTGGCACAATCATAGCTCACTCTAACCTCGAATTCCTGGACTCAAGTGATCCTTCTGCCTCAGCCTCCTGAGTAGATAGCATTACAGGTACACACCACCATGCCCAACTAATTTTTAAATATTTTGTAGGAATGGGTCTCACTATTCTGCCCAGTCTGGTCTCAAACTCCTGGCCTTAAACAATATTCCTACCATTGCCTCCCAAACTGATGGAATTACAAGTGTGAGCCACTGTGCCTGGCCAATCACAGATCTCCTATACCAGAAGAATCATAACAGTGAAAAGACCCTGGCACATTACCACAATCCTCTTTGGTCATTAACAATGATCCCAGTGCAATCCATAAACAGGAATAGTTTCAGCAACATATGACTGCACGCTTTCAGGCAACTGGTAAAATTGAGCTAAGAGACAATATCATCTCTTGCTTATACCTCTTTCAAGTAGTTCATGTAACATTGGATTTTCCTCATTACATAACCCATTTATTCATTCATTTACCCTCAGCTACTATTTCTCCTTCCCTTCATTTATACTAAACATTTATAATTTTGGAAGGAACACTAGGTTCTGCTGCTGTGCTGGCTGAGACTGCAGGGAGCAATACTGTTCTAGCAAGTGTCTCCCGTCATCCATTCCAGTTCATAGAGGGTAGGGTTATGCAGGTAGAGAACTGGTTGGCTATCTGACCCCAGGCAATACAGCTGCATTCAGTGTTAGCCCCAACTTTGCCAGATGCAGTGAAGGCACAACCTACTTCTACAGGCCCTTAGGAATTATTACATAATGGACATAAAATATATTTACAGTTTCTTGCTCAGGAATAATTCCTGTTTCTGGACTCTATTTGCATCCCTAGTCCTGGGACCACTGCATCAGGTATGAGAAAAGCAAGTTGAGGTGAATTACAGTCGTCATTCCAGTGTCCTCCCAGCTTGGGAAGGAATATATGTAGATCACACCAGCACCTTCCCCTGATCCACCAGGAAAAGAGAGGATACTCTCACGTCAAGTGCGAGCACACTCAAGAAGGTGTATAAGCCCACCCTTTGTGCTTGTTTCCCCACTCTTGCCTTTATACACCCAATTGACTATTTTAATTCTCTACAGAACTCTTTCTCTGAGAAGGATATCTCTCTGACCATTGTTGGACATTTTGAGCAGGTGCATTTTCTGGTGTAAAGAAATATGACTCTGTGGTCTACATGGTTGCAGTACCTCCCATTCAGGTTCTTTTGTAACACTCCGAGCATTTGCATCTGAGATAAAGCAGGGACCTCTCTTAGAAGCCTGCCAGGGCCTCCCAACCTGGAAATAAAGAAAAACCTTTAGTTCCTTCAAGAGAAATTCCAGGTACCTAGCCAGCCCTAAAAAGTAGTGAGTGACCTTATAAGCAAGATGGTAATGATAGCTTAAAACAACAGCCAAGGAAGTTAGAGTCACAAGATGTTTGATTCTCTATAGAAACTAAAAATAACACCTTAACATATGCCCCTGAGTTGTTTTTCAGAAACATGGATTCCCACCTAATAGATCCACTGACAGGGAGATCTTATAAAGGGGAAACTGAGGACTGAACTCTGACCGCCGTTCTTTGTTCTAAATTTCTTCCTGAGGGGCCTGGAGAGAGTAAAGCCCACAGGCCAGGCCTGAACATTCCTCTCTACTGCCCCCAACTGTGTAAGGAAGCTGCGTAAAGAAGCTTCACTTTCTTATCTATCACAAATCAGAGAATCTTTACATCTACCTAAGACCTGTAAGCTCCCTCATCAGGATATTCCACCTTTTAAGGCCAAAGCAGTGTATAACTTCTATGCATTGATTTATGATGTTGCCTGTAACTCTGCTGTCCCGAAATTTGCCCCTGCCTTTAAAAATTCTTGCTTGTGAGCCATCAAAAAGTTGGGTCTTAAGCGTGAGCTGCCCAATTCTCCTTGTTTGGTGCCCTACACATAAATGCCTTCCTTTCTCCCACTACATTCTCAGTGTGGATGTTTGCTTTTACTGCCCCAGGTGAGTGGACCCCAGTTCAGTTTGGTAACACACCTACCACCAGCTGAACAAAGCCCATTCCAGGGTGAGGATCTGTTCCTGCCAAGACCCATTTGCTGCTTCCTGGGGCTACTGGTATCAGTCTAACTTGCCAGCTATGTATTTTCAAGGCCCTGGCATAAAAGAATCTGCCACATAGCCATATGCTAGCTCTCCTTTTTTTGTTAAAGGAAGCACTTCTTATGTGTATTTTTTGCCTGTGATGTGTGGAATGCAAGAGGAATATGTCTTGATTCCACCTATCTCTGCATTGCTACAACCCCAATGTCTATTCATTTCACGGACTCAGGTGATCACCACAAGCAAACCTGGATTTTTTGTTGTTGTTGTTGTTTTTGAGATGTGGTCTTGATATGTTTCCCTGGCTGGCCTCAAGTGTTGCTGAGGCTAAACTCTAACTCCTGGACTCAAGATATCCTTCTGCCTCAGCTGCTTTCATAGCTGAAATTACAGGTGCACCTGGCAAACACTTGGAGATAAATTCTTGTTGATTTCAATCACCTTCCAAACCTGGAAGGGAGTTATTCTGAGGGACACTGAACAGCACTGAGGGGACGGTGCTAAAGGATTCATGAGAAACTGACCTCGTGATCCAACCACCTCCCTCCCTCCAGGCCCCACCTATAATGCTGGGGATCACATCTCGACATGAGATCTGCACAAGAACAGCATCCAATCTATATCAGGTATCAACAGATCTTACATTAATGAACCCCTCAAATTACCATAGTGATTTCCGTGGGACTTGGCTCACATGGGCATTCTTTTCATAGGCAAGTTTTTCATTGCTCTCCTGATTAATTATATGGCCAGGCCATTAGTCACTCCCTTTAAGTCAGTAAAAACTAAAACGTAGGAGCTTTATCATTGCTCAATTCTTCCACCACTGCTAAGAAAACACCATGCAATTAAGTCCACAAGAGCCCTTCTGTTTTTACCTTGTTTGATCAAAGAGGTGGACTTCCAAACAGGATGTTGTTCATTCATCTTGCAAATGCTATACACAAACCAACCAGCTGTTTGTGGGTCAGTTGATGGATACTGCAGTTCAAATCCCTGCGCTGTCTGCTACAGAGTTCCATCTTGCTCGAGGAAGGTCAGTGTTTTGTTTAATTTATGCCTTCAATGAATTGAATGAAGCCCACCCACATGATAGACATCAATCTACTTTATTCAAAGTCTAGCTATTTATATGTTAATCTCATCCAACAAATGTCCTCACAAATCATCCAGAATAATGCTTGACTACCTATCTAGGCAACATGCTTTAGCCAAGATGACCAATAATTTTTTTTATTATTATACTTTAAGTTCTAGGGTACATGTGCCCAACGTGCAGGTTTGTTACATATGTATACATGTGCCATATTGGTGTGCCGCACCCATTAACTCATCATTTACATTAGGTATATCTCCCAATGCTATCCCTTCCCACTGCCCCCACCCCATGACAGGCCCCAGTGTGTGATGTTCCCCACCCTGTGTCCAAGTGTTCTCATTGTTCAATTCCAACTTATGAGTGAGAACATGCGGTGTTTGCTTTTCTGTCCTTGGGATAGTTTGCTCAGAATGATGGTTTCCAGCTTCATCCATGTCCCTACAAAGGACATGAACTCATCCTTTTTTATGGCTGCATAGTATTCCATGGTGTATATGTGCCACATTTTCTCAATCCCGTCTATCATTGATGGACATTTGGGTTGGTTCCAAGTCTTTGCTATGTGAATACTGCCACAATAAACATACGTGTGCATGTGTCTTTATAGCAGCATGATTTATAATCCTTTGGGTATACGCCCAGTAATGGGATCACTGGGTCAAATGGTATTTCTAGTTCTAGATCCTTGAGGAGTTGCCACACTGTCTTCCACAACGGTTGAACTAGTTTACAGTCCCACCAACAGTGTAAAAGTGTTCCTATTTCTCCACATCCTCTCCAGCACCTGTTGTTTCCTGACTTTTTAATGATCGCCATTCTAACTAATGTGAGATGGTATCTCATTGTGGTTTTGATTTGCATTTATCTGATGGCCGATGATGATGAGCATTTTTTCATGTGTCTGTTGGCTACATAAATGTTTTCTTTTGAGAAGTGTAGTTCATATCCTTTGCCCACTTTTTGATGGGGTTGTTTGATTTTTTCTTGTAAATTTATTTGAGTTCTTTGTAGATTCTGGATATTAGCCCTTTGTCAGATGGGTAGATTGTAAGGATTGTAAGTATTGTAAGAATTTTCTCCTATTCTGTAGGTTGCCTGTTCATTCTGATGGTAGTTCTTTTGTGGTGCAGAAGCTCTTTAGTTTAATTAGATCCCATTTGTTAATGTTGACTTTTGTTGCATTGCTTTTGGTGTTTTAGTCATGAAGTCCTTGCCCATGCCTATGGCCTGAATGGTATTGCCTAGCTTTTCTTCTAGGGTTTTTATGGTTTTAGGGATGACCAATAAAATTAATTATGATATTCTTCAATATAAGAATACTCTGAGGAAATTAGCCTGTGACCTAATAAAACAAGGAGCAAACAAGTGTTTCTAAAAATTTACAACCAATAGTCAAAAAGCCTGTAGAGTGAACTTGTTTCTCAAGTTCACTCTATAATTCTGGGAAAATTCTATAATTTTCAACAAATACATGTATTTGTTGAAAACCACAGAAGAAGAGAAAATTGAAAAAGCAGAAAGTGAAAAAATAAGAATAATAATAAAGATGACAGCAGTTATTTCATTGGAAACAATGCAAATGAGGAGACAGATGAGCAACATCTTTAGAGTCCTAAAAGGAAAATGCTGTGAAACTAGATTCTAGTCCCAGAAAATAAAACCTTTTTCAAATATATACGTATAAGTTTAATTGACAAATTATAATACATTCGTAAGATATTATTTGATGTATTGATATATGTATACCGTGTGTAATGATTAAATTAAGCTAACATACCTTGAATATATCTATCAAAAAATAAAGGGATTTTAGGCCAGGCACGGTGGCTCATGCCTGTCATCCCAACACTTTGGGAGGCTGAGGTGGACAGATCACGAAGTCAGGAGTTCAAGACCAGCCTGACCAACATGGTGAAACCTCGTCTCTACTAAAAATACAAAAATTAGCTAAGCATGGTGGCATGCGCCTGTAATTCCCAGCTACTCAGGGGGCTGAAGCAGGAGAATCACTTGAACACGGGAGGCTGAGGTTGCAGTGAGCCAATATCACATCATTGCACTCCAGCCTGGGCAATAGAGTGAGACTCTGTCTTAAAAATAAATAAATAAATAAATAAATAAACAAACAATTGGATTTTAGACATATAGGGAGTGAAAAAATAACCAGCAGACCTAAACTATAATAAATGTTTCAGTCCTCTAGGCAAAAAGAAAATTAAGGGACTAGCTGGTACAGCATTTAATGATGAAGAGACAGCTTCATCGCCCCCTCCCACCGAGACAGAGAACACAGCCCTGGGGCCTGGGAATTCCTCTCCCCAATCCACCACCTTGGGCACCTGTGCACTCCTTCTGGGTACCTGAGGTTGGGGGCAATTACCCTATCTGTCACCTACCTGCAAACACCACCTATGGGCATCCCACCCAGCCTATCACAGCTGCCACTAACAATGCACACTGCTTGGACCCAGAGAAGCAGCCCACCACTGCCACTGCCAAGCTAGCTGCCCAGGAGCCGAAGACCCCACCCACCCACCCAGTCAACCTCTGCCACTACTGGCATCCAAGCAGGCCACCTGGAGGCCCAGGAATCAGCCCACCAGTAACCACCAACACGAATGCCAGTATACACCACCTTGGGGCACAAAGATAGGAACACTCAGCACACCACTGCCACCGTTGGAGCCTGAAGACTGTCTCATATGGCATCCCAGTCCCCAGCACATCTTCACCACAGCCTCACTAATAACCACACCCTAATGCACAGAAGAAATCACAGATACCATTAACACTGCCTACAGCCAAAGAAATTACACAGAGACCATAGTACTCTACTATGTACTACACCCAGAATCAAATCCAAAGTACCCCACACAACCAACATCATAGACTCATCTTCAGGAAAAAGTTATCCACTATGAAACAAAATTCAAAAATAGGAAACTGACTGTGATATCAGATGTAAAAATATTAACGTTAGGACACAGAAACATGAAAAAGCAAAAAAAGAAAAAAAAGCCCCAAAGGAAGACAATAGATCTTAATCAAAAAGAAATTTTCAAGATTCCAGATAAAGGATTCAAAATATTTATTTTACAGAAGTTCAATGAGATACAAAAGAATTCTGAAAAAAAATACCAAGAAAGCCTAAAAATAATTCAGGATATGAATAAGAAGTTTACAAGAGATATAGATTTAAAAAAAACAAATAGAAATTCTGGAATTAAAGAATTCATGACATGAAATTCCAAATACATTTGAAAGCTTCAACAATATACTAGGTCGGGCAGAAGGAAGAATTCCAAAACTTGAAGATATACATCGTGAAATAATTCAATAAGACAAAAACACACACACAAAAAGAATGAGCAAAGCCTTTGTGACATTTGGTACAATATAAACAACCAAATATTCAAATTATCGGTATCCTCAAGAGCAAAGAGACAAAGAACAGATTAGAAAACCTATTTAATGAAAGAATAGATGAATAATTCCCAACTCTAGCAAGTGATTTAGACATTCAGATACAAAATGTTCAACAATTCTGAGAAAAATACAGTGCAAAAAGTTCTTCTCCATGGCATATAATCAGACTTTCTATAGTCTAAGGTAAAACGCAAATCCTAAAAATAGTAAGAGAAAAGCATTTAGTCACCAAGAAAGGAAACCCCATCAGACTAACAACAGATTTCTTTTTCTTTTTTCTTTTTTTTGAAACAGAGTCTCGCTATGTTGCCAGGCTGGAGTGCAGTGGCATGATCTCGGTTCACTGCAACCTCCGCCTCCTGGGTTCAGGTGATCTCCTGCCTCAGCCTCCCAAGTAGCTGGGATGACAGGTACAAGCCACCACACCCAGCTAATTTTTTTTTTTTGTATATTTAGTAGAGATGGGATTTCACCATGTTGGCCAGGATGGTCTTTATCTCTTGACCTCATGATCCGCCCACCTCAGCCTCCCAAAGTGCTGGGATTACAGGTGTGAGCCACTGTGCCCAGCTCTAACAGCAGATTTCTTGCAGAAATCTTACAGGCCAGAAGAGAATAGGATAGCATAATCAAAGTCCTGAAAGAAAAGAACTGCCAAGCCAAGAGTAATAAACAAAACATAAATTATTCTTCATAATTGAAAAAGAAATTGTCTTTCCAAGACAAGCAAATGCTGAAAGGCTTCATTATCACTGGACAGGGCCTACAGGAAATGCTCAAGAAAGTCCTAAACCTGGAATTGAAAGGACAACATTTTCAACATTTCCACATTATCACCATGAGAACATACACAAGTATAAAACTCACTGGTAAAGCAATCACACAAAAGAGGAAGAGAAAGTTCTCAGATGGTCCTACTACAGAAATCCACCAAAGCATAATGACAAGCAATAAGAGAAAAAGACAATAACAAAAGACATATAAAACAACCAGAAAACAACAGTGTGAAAGGAACAAAGCTGTTGGGAACAGGACCCCAAAAGTCTGGCCATAAACTGGCCCCAAAACTGGCCATAAACAAAATCTCTGCAGCACTGTGACATGTTAATGATGGCCATGACGCCCACACTGGAAGGTTGTGGGTTTACCAGAATGAGGGCAAGGAACACCTGGCCCACTCAGGGCAGAAAACTGCTTCAAGTTGTTCTTCAACCACAAACAATAGCATGAGTGATCTGTGCCTTAAAGACATGCTCCTGCTGCAGATAACTAGCCAAACCTATCCTTTTATTTTGGCCCATCCCTTTGTTTCCCATAAGGAATACTTTTAGTTAATCTATAATCTATAGAAACAATGCTTATCACTGGCTTGAGTTAATAAATACAGGGGTAAATCTCTATTCGAGGCTGTCAGCTCTGAAGGCTGGGAGACCCCTGATTTCCCACTTCACACCTGTATATTTCTGTGTGTGTGTCTTTAATTTCTCTAGCGCTGCTGGGTTAGGGTCTCCCCAGCTGAGTTGGTCTCAGCACAAAGCCTCACATATTAATAAAAATCTGGAATGTAAACAGATTAAATTCTCCACTTATAAGATGTAGAATGGCTGAATGGGTAGAAAACATGATCTAACTACATTCTGCTTACAAAAAAACTCACTGGTAATACCACCTCACCACAATCCATAGAGACAGAAGGTAAAAGAATGGCAACAGGTTATCTATCGAAACCAAAAGTGAGCAGGAGTAGCTATACTTATAGCAGATAAAATAAACAGTAAGTCAAGAACAATTTTTTTAAAAGATAAGGAAGGCCATCACATAATCATAAAGACATCCATCCAAGAAGAGAATAGAACAATTCTAAATATATATGCACTAAACATTGGAGCACTAGATTCATAAAACAAATATTACTACATCTAACAAGAGAGATAGACTCCAATACAATAATAGCGGGGGACTTCAACATCCAACCTCAGCATAAGACAGATCATCTACACAGAAAATCAAGAAAGAAACATTAGATTTAAACTGAATTTTACACCAAATAAAGCTAACAGATATTTACAGAGCATTCTCTCTAACACTACAGAATATACACTCTTTTCATGAACACATGGAACATTTTCTGGGAGAGAGCCTATGTTAAGCCACAAAACAAGTCTCAACAAATTTTCAAAAATTGAAATCATATTAAATATCTTCTCTGGCCACAATGGAATAAAACTAGAAATATACACCAAGAGAAATGTTGGCAACTAGACCAATACATGGAAATTAAGCAACCTGCTCCTGAATAACCATTGAGTCAACAGAGAAATTAAGATGTAAATCAAAAAGTTTCTTGAAATAAATGAAAATGGAAACACAACATACCAAAACCTGTGGGATACAGCTAAACAGGGCTAAAAGGGAGGTTTATAGCAATAAATACCCACCTAAGAAAAGTAGAAACATTACAAATTAACAATATAACAATGAACCTCATGGAACCAGAAAAGCAAGAAAAAAACATATCCAAAATTAGCAGAAAAGAAATAATAAAGATCATAGTAGAAATAAATAAAGACTTTTAAAAACCATGTAAATGATCAACAAAGTGAAAAGTTTGTTCTTCAAAAACATAAACAAAATTGATAAACCACTAGCTAAACAAACCCAGAAAAAAAGAGAGAAAATTTATTAAGAATAAAAGTTCCTCTTCAAAGTTTTCCTTTTTGGTTTAGAATGATAAGTCTTAAGAAGATAGTTCCTCTTAAAAGCTTCCTTTAAGTTTCCCTTGCTCTTCATACTAACAAATCTTCTATTTTACTAATGACTCTTTATTGTGCCACAAAGGAGTTGTTACATACAGTAAACAAATAAACACATTCTATGTTCTTGTACTTGAACCAAGGCCTAACTCCTTTGTTCCCTAGTCTGCCTGGATCTGCCTGGACACGCCCAGGCATGTCACAGCTTGCAGCCTATGCTCTTTCCTTATTTGGAAATATTATTGTCTTCCTGGTTTCCCATAAGCGACCCCCTCCTTTCCTTGGTTCCCCATTGCGCCTTTACCTTATTTGGGAAAGTTTAAGTTTTTAGCCAACTGGGATCAGTTTAGATTGTGTGGTCCAGTTCCAGCCAATGGAGACAGGACACAATAGTAGAAACAAATTGCGTTAGGAATAAAAACCCCTGCTTTCCTTTGTTCTGGTTGCTCTCGTGGCAATCAGGCTTACAGGTAGCACCCTTCTGCAGAAGTAAAAATTGCCTTGCTGAGAAATCCTTTGATCAAGTGTTCATTTCCTTTGTGACTCCAAGCTTTATTTCTAACTATTTTATGGGGGCTCTTCCAGGATTCCCATTCTCCTATGGGAAGGGGTCTTTGGTCACCCCATCTAGGGGAGGCGTACCCCACTGCAGTGGCCCCAGGGACGGGAGATTGAGACTACCCATTGTGATGAATAAATTCAGGCTCTCAGCAATGTGGAAGGAGAAGGCCCACAAGTACCGCGATGACCAGCTAACTCTGTGCAGAGACCAAGGTAAAAAAAGTCACACGGGCAACAGTATTTCCTTGGTGGTCGGAATATTCTGGAGGTTAAAGGGTGTGAAAGGTAACAAGCACTACTGCTGTGCAGAGTGAGTGAGTTCAATCTGTGGTTCCGTGGTCACCTCATGTGGCTTATGATGGCCCTCTTGTAGGGATCCTGACATTGGGGTTCATACAGTCCTGCTGATGCTAAGGGGAGCCTAATTTCCTCTGGGAAAGCAGCCAGAGTGGATGAAGCAAAAGGAGAAGATTGCAAGGAACCTCCAGGGTGGGGGTTAAACCTCCAGGGAAGGATAGGCAAGAAATCTCTAGTTTGAGGGACTGAGCCTAACCAGTATTCAACATGGGAAATACCCTGAGTAAGACAGAAGGTAAAAAGGAAAAGGCAAACAGTGAAATCACCTCTGATAGTCCTTTAGGACTCATGTTAAAATATTGGAAGAATACGAGAGGACTAAACATAAGAAAAAGCAACAGATGATAAAGTATTATTGTTTCATTTGGACCAAGGAACCTATTCTAAAGCCTTCAGTTTTCTGGCCAAAATTCGGGTCAAATGAGGCTTGGACTTGCCAACTTTTAATAGAATGTGTAAATGATAAGAGTCCTGTTTCCCAGGAGGAAATACATTATGCTCTGTGTTGGCAGCAAGGGCCCATCCTCCTTTGTCATCTAAAAACCAAAGGAGACAAGCCAGAAACTACTTCTCATGAAATTAATACCCCTTACTCCAAGAACCCCACCAACACGTGGGATGCCTTAGACCATCTTCCCCCACCAAAACTTCTTCCCCCCACCCAGTAGACCAACATCCCCCACCTCCCCCTTCAGTAGAAATAACAGTCCCAGACCTTTCCCCTACTCAGACTTTTTTTCCCTCCTTTTAACCCTGATTCTTGGGGTCATCCCCAGCTTGAATGCCCTCCCTCAGGAAGACTTCAACGTGAGTTAGAACAATGTAAAAATGATATCCAAAACTTCCCTTTTCCCCCTTCCTCTAGGGGTTTGGCTACAAACCTCTTCCCACTGAGGGAAGTGCCTCTAGGAGGAGCGGGCATTGGCTTTTTAAATGCTCGCCTGACCAGTTCGGAAGTCCAGAGCTTGAAGAGGGAACTCAAGCCACTCTTAGACGATCCCTATGGAGTGGCAGATCAAATTGATCAATTTTTAGGACCCCAGTTGTATACTGGGGCTGAGTTTATGTCCATCATAGGCATCCTTTTTTCAGGGGAAGAAAGGAGCATGATGCATAGGGCCGCTATGACCATCTGGGAGTGTGAGCATCCTCCCGGTCAAAACGTCCCTGCAGCCAAACAGAAATTTCCTGCTCAAGATCCCCAGTGGGATAATAACAACATAGCTCATAGGAGGAATATGAGAGACCTGCAAGAAATGATAATAAAAGGAATTAGAGAATCAGTACCCCGCACCCAGAATATGACCAAAGCTTTTAATATACAGCAAGGAAAAGAAGAGGGGCCTATGGAATATTTTAATAGGCTTAAGGAACAAATGAGGAAATATGCTGGTTTAGATGGAGGAGACCCACTTGGACAAGGAATGTTAAAAGCTTCACTTTGTCACAAATAGCTGGCCAGACGTTACCAAGAAATTACAAAAGATAGAAAATTGAAAGGACTGTCCCATAAAGGAACTCTTAAGGGAGGCCCAAAAGGTGTATGTACGAAGGGATGAAGAAAAGCAAAAGCACAAGGCAAAGATTGTGCTGTTCTTAAAGCAGGGAACTCCCCAATAGACAGCTCAAAGAAATATCGCCGGTAAATCTTTTAGGTACCCGACTGCCAGACCCTATAATGGAGGTAAAGGAATCAAACCAGGGAACAAGGGAATAAAAAGAGGAATAGGGCAGAATAAATGCTTCAAGTGTGGGAAGGAAGGTCACTTTAAAGAGAATGCCCTGAATGGAAAAAAGAACAAGAAATCACCCCACTTATGATCTTTGAGGAGGAATGGGGGGCCAGGGGCTCTACTCTTTTTACCTCGAGTCCCACCAAGAGCCCTTGATTAAATTTAGAGGTGGGACCCAGACCTTTTTAATTGACTCAGGAGCTGCTGATTCCTCAGTTTGTTATCTTCCCCCTGGTGTAACTTGGTCACAAGAAGAACTTTTTATTTTGGGAGCAAAAGGGGAGGGGTTTAAAGCAAAAGTCTTAGAAGAAACAAAAATTAAATATCAGAAACACTCAGTAAATATTAAACTTCTGTTAATCCTGGAGGCAGGAACAAACCTATTAGGAAGAGATTTAATGCTAAAATTAAACCTAGGCCTTTGTGTTAATCAAGGAAATCTCCTCCCCTCCTTAAATTTGCTTGCTACTCTAAATGAGGGATACATCCATCCAGATGTATGGTCAAAGGAAGGAAACTGAGGAAAGTTACAAATTTCCCCAATCCAAGTTAAATTGAAAAACCTGGGGCAAGAGGTAAAAAGAAAACAATATCCAATTCCCTTAGAAGCTAAGATCAATTTAAAGCCCATAATGGAAAGCCTTCTCCATGGTGGACTCATTGAACCCTGTATGTCTCCTTATAACACTCCCATACTGCCTGTGAAAAAGCCAGAGGGGTCATATCGGCTAGTGCAAGATCTTCGATCTATTAATCAAATAGTTCAAACAACTCACTCTGTCGATCCTAATCCTTATGCTATTATTAGTAAAATTCCTTACAACCATGAGTGGTTCACAGTAATAGATCTAAAGGATGCCTTCTGGGCTTGCCCACTAGCAAAGATAGCCTTTGAATGGGAGGACCCTCACTCTGGTTGAAAATAACAGTATCGATGGACAGTTTTGCCCCAGGGATTTACAGAATCTCCAAATTTGTTTGGTCAAATACTAGAACAGATCATAGAAAAGTTTTACAAACCACAATATATATGCCTGCTCCAATACATGGATAATATCCTTATTTCAGGGGAGGATAGACAAAAAGTGGAAGGATTTTCAATAGGTTTTTTAAAAATAATTTGCAACTGGAGGGGTTACGAGTGTCAAAAAAGCAAACTTCGGTTTGTAGAACCTGAAGTCAAGTATTTAGGGGACTTAATCAGTAAGGGCAAATGGAGAATTGGATTTGAATGGATTGAAGGCATCATATCCTTCATATGATATCCTGAGACAAAGAAGGAACTTAGAAAGTTTTTAGGGTTAGTAGGGTATTGTTGCTTATGGATAGACTCTTATGCTTTAGTAACCAAACCTCTACATAAAAAAAACTTACACAGGATGAATTGGACCCCCTTATATGGTTTTACAAGAAATACAGCAGATAAAAAAATTAAAAGAGTTACTAGTGACAGCCCATGTTCTAGCCTTACCCTCTTTAGAATTGCCCTTTCATCTTTTTGTTAATGTAGGTAATGAAGTAGCCTTAGGGGTACTTACTCAAACACACGGAGGCCATTGGCAACCCATAGGCTTCTTGTCAAAAATTCTTGACCCAGTAGCCCATGGATGGCCCGAGTGTGTCCAATCAGTGGCAGCAACAGCCTTGCTCATAGAGGAGAGCAGAAAATTAACCTTTGGGGAAATCTTATCATTAGTACTCCTCAACAAGTGAGAACAATTCTCAATTAGAAGGCGGGAAGGTGGCTTATTGATTCAAGAATTTTAAAGTATGAAGCCATCTTGTTAGAAAGAGATGATCTAATCTTAACCACTGATGACTCAATTAATCCAGCTGCTTTCTTAACAGGAAACCCCAACCCACAGACCCCTGATCTTTGCCCAGAGCACAGATGTTTAGATTTAATTAGTTATCAAACAGAAGTTAGACCTGATCTAAATGAAACACCCTTTCATACTGGGAAACACCTGTTTGTAGATGGTTCCTCCCGAGTAATCAAAGGAAAAAGGCATAACGGGTATTCAACGATAGATGGAGATACCCTCACAGAAATAGAGTCTGAAAGGTTACCAAATGACTGGTCTGCACAAACATGTGAGTTGTTCACATTAAATCAGGCCTTAAAATTTCTGCAAATCAAGAAGCAACAATCTATACAGACTCCAGGTATGCCTTTGGAGTAGTCCATACTTTTGAAAAAATTTGGACTGAGCGGGGCCTCATTAACAGCAAAGGTCAAATTTTAGACCATAGGGACCTAATAATACAAGTACTAGAAAATATACAATTGCCAAAAGAAATAGCTGTTGTACATGTCCCACGACATCAAAGGAATCCTTTATTTGAAGGCCAGGGAAATAATCTCACTGACCAAATAGCTAAGCAAGCTGCCTATTCTCCAGCAGAACCCATTTTTCGACTAACCCCTTGTCTTCCATCTTCAGCTGCACTCCCTATCTTCTCTCAAACAGATCAGGAAAAACTAAAAAAAAAAGGAGCTGAAGAAAACTCAAAAGGAAAGTGGGTATTACCAGATGGAAGGGAAATGTTATCCAAACCTTATGAGGGAAATATTGTCACAGCTTCATCAAGGATGTCACTGGGGTCCTCAAACCATGTGTGATGCAGTCCTTAGGGTTTATGGGTGCATAAGAATATACACCCTCGCCAAGCAAATGGTGGAAAGTTATATAGTGTGCAGAAAATCTAATAAGCAGACCCTCAAAAGACAACCTCCCGGGGGGAGAAATCCTGGGTTAAGGCCATTTCAAAGTGTCCAAGTTGACTCTACTGAAATGCCCCCAATAGGCCGCCTTAAGTATTTACCGGTAATAGTAGATCATCTTACCCACTGGGTAGAAGCCATCCCCTTTCCAAGTGCAACAGCCAATAATGTGGTCAAAGGTCTGTTAGAACATATCATATCCAGGTTTGGAATAATAGAGAACATTGATTCAGATAATGGGACCCAATTTACCATGTACATTATTAAAGGACTAATCCAAGTATTAGGGATAAAATGGGAATATCATACTTCCTGGCCTCCATCTTCATCAGGGAGAGTAGAAAGAATGAATCAAACTTTAAAGAGTCATCTAACCAAATTAATTTTAGAAACTCGCCTACCATGGACAAAATCTCTTCCCATTGCTTTACTAAGAATCCAAACTTCTCTTCAGAGGGATCTTGGCTTGTCTCCTTATGAAATGCTTTATGGGTTACCTTATCTAAACACTACTACTGACCTTCCTATGATCGAAACAAAAGATCAGTTCCTTAGAAATTATGTATTTGGTCTGTCTTCCACTCTTTCTTCCCTCAGGACTCAAGGTCTGGTAGCACAGACTCCACCCGTTGAATTCCGGGCCCACCAACATCAACCCGGAGATCACACGTCCTTATCAAAGGCTGAAAAGAGGGAAAGCTTGAGCCTACCTGGGAAGGACCCTATCTGGTGCTCACAACAACTGAAACAGTAGTTCGGACCACTGAGAAAGGGTGGACCCATTATACTCGAGTCAAGTAGGCGTCACCTTCTCCAGAGACATGGACCATTATTCCGTCAACTCCCACCAGAGTAACAATAAAAAGAAAAACTTAATCTATCTCTTTTTCTTCTTTTCTTTCCCTTAACTGCCCCCATCTCATCATTAATGTAACTAGATCAAGTTTGCCCAAAATTATTACCTTTGATGCTTCTCTAGTCATGCCTTGTGGAAATTTACAGGACCAAAGACAGCTTACTGCCTCAGATAAATATCTTTGTCCCTCTTGAACTTCCTCAGATTGGAAAGATATAACAAATTCTTGTAAAGATCATGATAACCCCAAAAATAGTAGCTGTATTAACTGGTGGGAATGGGACTCTTGTCCCCTTAAAGCAGAGTCCCTATGCTATACTTGGTCTAATGTCCTATGGAACAACAAAGGTCCAGGCTGGACTGCTCCCACCAGTCTTTGCCAGTCCTTAAAGCCATATATCCATTTTACAAAAGGGATTGCCTCTTCTGATTGTCCATATAACCAGTGTAATCCTATTCAGCTTACTATTACTATTGCAACATCCCAAAACTCTTCCCTTTCATTAAGTCATATTTATGGCATAGAGGCCAACATCTCAGGAAAGGATCCTAGGGGAATTTTTGAAATTTGCTTTATTGCCCCTTCCACCTCTCTATCACATCTTCCTCAAACCATCACCCCACCTATACCCAGTGACAAAACCAAAGTAGCTAAAGTAGAAGTAAAAGACCTGAGGCAAACTCTAGCCATTGAAGCAAGGTCTCAGGATGCAACTGCCTGGGTGGAATGGATTAAATATTCCATCCACAGTCAAAATAAGAGCAATTGTTATGCTTGGGCGCATGGTAAACCAGAGGCCCAAATTGTCCCCTTTCCACTGAGATAGTCTTGTAATAGACCAGATATGGACTGCATGGTAGCTCTGCTCCAAGACCCCACAGCCTGGGGTAATAAATCATGTCAAACACTTTCTCTGCTATTCCCTGAGGTCCAGCATCCTGCGGGTCAGCCCCCGAAGGCCATTCAGCCTCCATCTTCTGGGACCAAATTTGCTTCTTGTCTCTCACAACAGGGAGAAAACCTGGCTTTCCTTGGAAACCTGACAGGATGCAGTGAGGTCAAGCACTTCCAAGAGCTAACCCATCAGTCCTCCCTTATCCATCCCCGAGCAGATGTATGGTGGTATTGTGGTGCACCTTTGTGGGAGACTCTGCCAAATAACTGGAGTGGTACTTGCACTCTAATTCAATTGGCTATCTCTTTCACCCTGGCATTTCATTCACAAAAAAAATTAACAACTAGGCATCGTAGTACAAGAACTGTTCCTGTGAGTCTTTTGATCCCAACGTTTATATAGATGCTATTAGAGTACCAGATGAATTTAAAGCTTGAAACCAAATAGCTGCAGGATTTAAGTCATTATTCAGGTGGGTGACTATCAATAAAAATATAGATTGGATAGCCAGGCGCAGTGGCTCACGTCTGTAATTGCAGCACTTTGGGAGGCCAAGGCGGGCAGATCACGAGGTCAGGAGTTTGAGACCAGCCTGACCAACATAGTGAAACCCTGTCTCTACTAAAAATACAAAAATTAGCTGGGTGTGGTGGCACGCACCTGTAATCCCAGCTACTCAGGAGAGTCACTTCAACCTGGGAGTTGGAGGTTGCAGTGAGCCGAGATCACACCACTGCACTCCAGCCTGGGCGACAGACTGAGACTCCATCTCGAAAAAAAAAAATGTAGGTTGGGTAAATTATATTTACTACAATCAGCAATGATTCATTTTTTTAAATTTATTTTTATTTTTTTTAGCATTTATTGATCATTCTTGGGTGTTTCTTGGAGAGGGGGATTTGGCAGGGTCATAGGACAATAGTGGAGGGAAGGTCAGCAGATAAACATGTGAACAAGGGTCTCTAGTTTTCCTAGACAGAGGACCCTGCGGCCTTCTGCAGTGTTTGTGTCCCTGGGTACTTGAGATTAGGGAGTGGTGATGACTCTTAACGAGCATGCTGCCTTCAAGCATCTGTTTAACAAAGCACACCTTGCACCGCCCTTAATCCATTTAACCCTGAGTGGACACAGCACATGTTTCAGAGAGCACAGGGTTGGGGGTAAGGTTATAGATTGACAGCATCCCAAGGCAGAAGAATTTTTCTTAGTACAGAACAAAATGGAGTCTCCCATGTCTACTTCTTTCTACACAGACACAGTAACAATCTGATCTCTCTTTCTTTTCCCCACATTTCCCCCCCTTCTATTTGACAAAACCGCCATCGTCCTCATGGCCCGTTCTCAATGAGCTGTTGGGTACACCTCCCAGACGGGGTGGCGGCCGGGCAGAGGGCTCCTCACTTCCCAGATGGGGCGGCCGGGCAGAGGTGCCCCCCCACCTCCCAGACGGGGCAGTGGCCGGGTGGAGGCGCCCCCAACCTCCCTCCCGGACGGGGCGGCTGGCTGGGCGGGGGCTGCCCCCCAACCTCCCTCCCAGACGGGGCAGCTGGCCGGGCAGGGGCTGCCCCCCAACCTCCCTCCCGGACGGGGTGGCTGGCCGGGCGGGGGCTGACCCCCCACCTCCCTCCCAGACGGAGTGGCTGGCCTGGCGGGGGCTGACCCCATTAATTGCACAAGGGATGCTATGAGGGAATAGCTGAGCAACTAGGACCCACCAGTCAGATGACTTGGGAAAACAGAACAGCACTAGACATGATACTAGCAGAAAAAGGCAAGGTTTGTGTTATGATTGGAACTCAATGTTGTACTTTTATCCTTAATAATACTGCCCCTGATCGAACTATAATAAAAGCACTACAAGGTCTTACTGCTTCATCAAATGAACTAGCTAAAAACTCTGGAATAAATGATCCTTTCACTAGCTTAATGGAAAGGTGGTTTGCTAAGTGGAAAGGACTCATGTCCTCAATTCTCACCTCACTGGCTCTCATAATCAGTGTACTTATCCTTGTAGAATGTTGTATTATATCTTGCATTCGTGGATTAGTGCAAAGGCTTATAGAAAAGGCTCTTACCAAAACCCCTTTCAATTCTCCTCACCCTTACTCAGATAAGTTGTTCTTTCTAACTGATTAAGAAGAGCAACAAAATCAAGATATGTTAAGGAGATTTGAAGAGGAAGAACTGTAAAATCAAGAGGGGGAAACTGTAAAGAATAAAAGTACCTCTCCAAAGTTTTCCTTTTTGGTTAAGAATGATAAGTGTTAAGAAGATAGTTCCTCAGCCGGGTGCAGCGGCTCACACCTGTAATCCCAACACTTTGGGAGGCCGAGGCAGGCGGATCATGAGGTCAGGAGATCGAGACCATCCTGACTAACATGGTGAAACCCTGCCTCTACTAAAAAAAAAAAAGAAAACAGGAAAAAAGAAATTAGCTGGGCTTGGTGGCACTTGCCTGTAATCCGAGCTACTCGGGAGACTGAGGCAGGAGAATCGCTTGAGCCCAGGAGGCGGAGGTTGCTGTGAGCCTAAATTGCGCCACTGCACTCCAGTCTGGGCTACAGAGTGAGACTCTGTCTCAAAACAAACAAACAAAAAACAAACAAAAAAAGAAGATAGTTCCTCTTAAAAATCTTTCTTTAAGTTTCCCTTACTCTTCATACTAACAAATCTTCTAATTTACTAATGACTCTTTATTGTGCTCCAAGTAGTTGTTACATACAGTAAAGAAATAAACACATTCTATGTTCTTGTACTTGAACCAAGGCCTAACTCCTAGTCTGCCTGATCTGACCAGACATGCCCAGACATGTCCCAGCTTGCAGCCTATGCTCTTGCCTTATTTGGAAATCTTATTGTCTTCCTGGTTTCCCATAAGTGACCCCCTCCTTTCCTTTGTTCCCCATTGCACCTTTACCTTATTTAGGAAAGTTAAAGTTTTTAGCCAACTGGGATCAGCTTAGACTGTGCGGTCCAGCTCCAGCCAATGGAGACAGGACACAATAGTAGAAACAACTTGCGTTAGGAATAAAAACCCCTGCTTTCCCTTGTTATGGGTGCTCTTGTGGCAATCAGGCTTATGGGTAGCACCCTTCTGCAGAAGTAAAAATTGCCTTGCTGAGAAATCCTTTGTTCAAGTGCTCATTTTCTTTGTGACTTCAAGCTTTATTTCTAACAGGCTCAAACAAAATCAGAAAAGAAAAGAGAAACATTACAACTGATATTGCAAAAGTACAAAAGACCATCAGAGACTATTATGAACAATTGTGTACTGACAAACTGGAAAACCTGGAGGAAATGGATAAATTCCTGGAAACAAACAACCTGCCAAGATTACATTAGGAAGAATAGAAAACCTGAAGCCCTAACATACATGAACCATTCTCACAGTGGTTCCAGTGGGCCCCTGACCACTCTGTGATTATTTCCTCAGTGCTTGTTTGCATAATTGAAATAGACCTACTCAGCAATAGGCAAAATCCACAGATCAGTTCCTTTTTTTAACTTTTATTTTCAGTTCAGGGGTACAAGTGCAGGCTGTTTTACAGGTAAACTTGTGTTGTGGGAGTTTGGTAAACAGATTATTTAATCACCCAGGTTTTAAGCCTATTACCCATTAGTTATTTTCCCTGATCCTCTTCTTCCTCCCACCCTCCACCTTCTGAAAGACCCCAGTGCCCAGTGTGTGCTATTCCCCTCTATGTCTCTATGCATTCTCATCATTTAGCTCCCACTTATAAGTGAGAACATGCAGTATTTGGTTTTCTGTTTCTGCATTAGTTTGCTAAGGATAATGGCTTCCAGCTCCATCCATGTCCCTGCAAAGGACATGATCACATTCCTTTTTCTGGCTGCATAGTGTTCCATGGTATACATGTATCACGTTTTCTTTATCAAGTCTATAATTGGTGGGCATTTAAGTTGATTCCATGTCTTTGCTATTGTGAATAGTGCTGCAATGAACATATGTGTGCCTATGTCTTTATAATAGAATAATTTATATTCCTTTGGGTAGAATGGTATTTCTCTCTTTAGGTCTTCAAGAAATCACCACACTGTCTTCCACAATGGCTGACCTAATTTGCACTTCCACCAAGAGTATATAAGTATTCCTTTTTCTCCACAACTTTGCCAGCATCTGTTATTTTTTGACTTTTTAATAATAGCCATTCTGACTGGTGTGAAATGGCATCTCATTGTGGTTTAGATTTGCATTTCTCCAATCATCAGTGATGTTGAGCATTTTTCATGTTTGTTGGCTGCATGTATGCCTTCTTTTGAGAAGTGTCTGTTTATATGCTTTGCCCACTTTTTAATGGGGTTGTTTTGTTTTTTCTTGTAAATTTGTTTAAATTCCTTATAGATATTAGACTTTTGTCAGATGCATAGTTTGCAAAAAATTTTCCCCCATTCTGTAGGTTGTTTACTCTGTTGATAGTTTCTTTTGCTGTGCAGAGCTCTTTAGTCAAATTAGATCCCATTTGACAATTTTTGCTTGTGTTGCACTTGCTTTTGGCATCTTTGTCATGAAATCATTGCCCATACCTATGTCCTAAATGGTATTGCCTAGGTTGTGTTAGGGTTTTTACAGTTTTGGATCTTACATTTAAGTCTTTAATCCATTTTGAGGTGATTTTGGTATATGGTGTAAGAAAGGGGTTCCATTTTAATCTTCTGCATATGGCTAGCCAGTTATCCCAGCACAATTTATGAATAGGGAATCCTTTCCCCATCGCTTGTTTTTGTCAGGTTTGTCAATGATCATAGTTGTGTGTAGTCTTATTTCTGGGTTCTCTATTCTGTTCCATTGGTCTATATGTCTATTTTTGTACCAGTACCATGCTGTTTCGGTTACTGTAGCCTTGAAGTATAGTTGAAATCAGGTAGCATACACTGGACGTGGTGGCTCATGCCTGTAATCCCAGCACTTTGGGAGGCAGAGGCAGGTGGATCATGAGGTCAGGAGTTTGAGACCAGTCTGGTCAACAAGGTGAAACCCTGTCTCTACTAAAGATACAAAAAATTAGCTGAGCGTGGTGGCATGTGCCTGTAATCCCAGCTACTCAGGAGGCTGAGAAAAGGAGAATCACTTGAACCCAGGAGGCAGAGGTTGCAGTGAGCCAGGATCACACAATTGCACCCCAGCCTGGATGACAGGGTGAGACTCCATCTCAAAAAAAAAAAAATAATAATCAGGTAGTGTAATGCCTCCAGCTTTGTTCCTTTTGTTTAGGATTGCCTTGGCTATTCAGGCTCTTTTTTGGTTCCAGGTGAATTTTAAAATAGTTTTTTCTAGTTCTGTGAAGAATGTCAGTGGTAGTGGCCAGGAACGGTGGCTCACGCCTGTAATCCCAGCACTTTGGGAGGCTGAGGCAGCGGATCATGAGGTCAGGAGATGGAGACCATCCTGGCTAACGGGGTGAAACCCCATCTTTACTAAAAGTACAAAAAATTAGCCCAGCATGGTGGCGGGTACCTATAGTCCCAGCTACTCGGGAGGCTGAGGTAGGAGAATCGCTTGAACCTGGGAGGCGGAGGTTGCAATGAGCCGAGATCACACCACTGCACTCCTGCCTGGGTAACAAGTGTGAAACTCTATCTCAAAACAAAAAACAAACAAACAAAAAAACCTCCTGAATTCGTTGATCTTTTGAGTGGTTTTTCATGTCTCTGTCTCCTTCAGGAGACAATACCTTTGTTAATTTTTTATTATTATGTCTTGTCTTCTGCTAGCTTAGGGATATGTTTGCTCTTTGTTCTCAAGTTCTTTTGGTTGTGATTTTAGGTTGTTAACTTGAAATCTTTCTAACTTTTTGATGTGGGCATTTAATGCTATAAATTTCTCTCTTAACACTGCCTTAGCTGTTTCCCAGAGATTCTGGTACATTGTATCTTTGTTCTAATTATCTTCAAAGAACTTCTTGATTTGTGCCTTAATTTCATTATTTACCCAAAAGTCGTTCAAGAACAGGTTATTCAATTTCTATGTAATTGTATGGTTTGAGTGAATTTCTTAGTCTTTATTTTGAATCTGATTGCACTGTGGTCCAAGTGACTATTTGTTATGATTTCAGTTCTTTTGCATTTGCTGAGGAGTGTTTTACTTCCAATTGTGTGATCGATTTTAGAGTAAGTGCCATGTGACAATGCAAAAAATGTATACTCCATTGCTTTGGGGTGAAGACTTCTGTAGATATTTATCAGGTCCATTTGATGCAGGGCTGAGTTCAGGTCCTGAATATCTTCGTTAATTTTCTGTCTTGATAATCTGTCTAATATTGTCAGTGGAGTATTAAAATCTCTTACTATTATTGTGTGAGATTCTAAGTCTCTTTCAAGGTCTCTAGGAACCTACTTTATGAATGTGGGTGTTCCTGTATAGGATGCATATATATTTCAGATAGTTAGATCTCCTTGTTGAATTGAACCCTTTACCATTATGTAATGCCCTTCTTTGTCTTTTTTTATCTTTTTTGGTTTAACGCCTGTTTTGTCAGAAACAATGGTTGCAACCCTGGCTTTTTTTCTGCTTTCCATTTGCTTGGTAAATTTTCTTCCATCTTTTTATTTTGAGCCTATGTGTGTCATTGCATGTGAAATCGGTGTATTGAAGACAGCATACTGATAGGTCTTGGTTCTTTATCCAGCTTGCCACTCTATGTCTTTTAAATGGGGCATTTAGCCCATTTACATTTAGGGTTAGTATTGATATGTATGGATTTGATCCTGTCATCATGATGTTAACTAGTTACTTTGAAGACTTGCTTATGTGGTTGTTTTATTGTGTCACTAGTCTGTGTACTTCATTGTGTTTTTGTAGTGACTGGTAACTGTCTTTCCATGTTTAGTACTTCCTTCAGGAGTTCTTGTAATGCAGGTCTGGTAGTCATGAATTCCCTTGGCATTTGTTTGCCTGAAAAGAATCTGATTTCTCCTTTGCTTATGAAGCTTAGTTTGGTTGGATATGAAATTCTGGGTTGGAAACTCTTTTCTTTAAGAATGTTGAATATTGGCCCTCAATCTCTTCTGGCTTATAGGATTTCCACTGAGAGATCCACTGTTAGTCTGATGGGCTTCCCTTTGTAGGTGATCTGGCCTTTCTCTCTGGATACCCTTCTTATTTTTTCTTTCATTTTAACCTTGGAGCATCTGATGATTATTTATCTTGGGGATGATCTTCTAATGGAGTAACTTACTGGGGTCCTCTGCATTTCTGAATTTGAATGTTGGCCTGTCTAGCTAGGTTGGGGAAGTTCTCATGGATCATATCCTGAAATGTTTTCCAAATTGATTCCATTCTCCCCATCTCTTTCAGGTACACCAATCATTCATACATTCAGTTTCTTTACATAATCCCATGTTTTTCAGATGTTTTGTTCATTCCTTTTCATTATTTTTTCTCTAGTCTCATCTTCTTGTCTTATTTCAGAAAGCCAGTCTTCAAGCACTGAGATTCTTTTCTCCACTTGCTCTATTCTGCTATTAATACTTGTGAGTGCACTATGAAATTCTTATAGTGTGTTTTTCAGCTCTGTCAGGTTGGTTATCAAATTCTTTCGCTGATTTCTTCTCATCTTTATGGGCTTATCTACCCTCAATGTTTGAGGTTGCTGACCTTTGAGTGGATTTTTTTTTCTCTTCTTTTGTTTTCTCTTTTAACATTCTGGCCACTTTTCTGCAGGGCTGCTACAGTTTGCTGGGGGCCTGCTCCAGTCTCTAGTTGCCTCAGATTTTCCAGTACCTGAAGGTATCACCATTGAAGGCTATGTAACAGGAAAGATGGCAGTCTGCCCCTTCTTCTGGGAGGTCTGTTCCAGGAAAAGTACAGACATGTTGCCAGCCTGAACACACCTGTAGGAGGTGCTGGAGACCCTGGTTGGGAGATCTTGCCCAGTCAGGAGGAACAGGATCAGGATCTAGAGGTTTACAAAAGGAGGAATGCTCCTACAGGAGACACAGAAATGAACCATTCAGCTGGAAGCTAAGACAGCCACCTGGGCCCTTCAGCTCCTCATGATTCTGAATCAACAAAGGAAGGAGTTACTGCACTGTCTGGGGTGATTGGTCCTGGTCATCAGGGGGAATTGGTCTGCTACTACACAATGGCGGTAAATAGGACTATGTCTGGAACACAGGAGGTCTTTTAGAGCATCTCTTAGTAATACTCTGCCCTATAATTAAAGTCAATAAAAACTACAACAACCTAAGTCAGGTAGGACTACTAATGACCCATACCCTTCAGGAATGAAGGTTTAAGTCATCCAAGCAGGAAAAGAAACCTGATCAGCTGAGGGACTTGCTGAAAGCAATGGGAATATGGGATGGTTAGTGAAAAACAACAAAAAAAAAGTATTTATAAATACTAGCTGTGGCCAGCACAGTGGCTCATGCCTGTAATCCCAGCACTTTGGGAGGCTGAGGCAGGTGGATTGCTTAAGTCTAGGAATGTGAGACCAACCTGAGCAAAATGCTGAAACTCCATCTCTACTGAAAATAAATACAAAAAATTAGTCAGACTTGGTGGTGTGCTTGTAGTCCCAGCTACTTAGGAGGTTGAGGTAGGAGGATCACTTGTGCCCAGGAGGTGGAGGTTGCAGTGAGCCAAGGTAATGCCACTGCACTCCAGCCTGGGCAACAGAACAAGACCCTGTCTCAAATAAATAAGTAAGTAAATAAATAACCAGCTGTAACCATGTGAGCACTTACAGAAATAAAGACAGTAAATGTTATCAGCATTACTTCATGTTTTTATAATGATATTTATGTCTGTGTGTATGTATCCATACATGTATTGAGCAAATACCTTTCTTTTCATCTTTTCCTGATCATCTGTAATAAAACGTAAGATGTGCTAACAATCATTCCCTTTTATTAATGAAAGTTTAACTTTTATTACACATGGTATTTGGGTTACAGTACATCAAAGAGAAGAGTGCATATCATGCATTCAGTTTGAATCTTTTTCTGAGGAAAGGGTTAGTGTGTTTCTAGTTGGATGCAAGCTAATTGTATCATCTTTGGCAAAAGTAAGACTTTATAGTTGTTTTTATTTGGAGACGAAGTAAGGTTTAAGGAAAATGTTAATGGGTGCCAAGTTCACAAGCATGGACTGGGATGGTGGGTCTTATGTGTCAATTTTACTAAACCATAGCACCTAGTTATTTAATCAAACACTAAATTTATATGTTGATATGATGGTGTTTTGCAGTTGTGATTAAAATCTGATATCAGTTGATTTCATGAAAAGGAAATTACCCTAAAAAATGTGGGTGGGACTTTTTGAATCACTTGAAGGCCTTTGGGCGAAATGTGAGTCTTCCCAGAGAAGAAAAAATTCTGCCTCAAGATGACAGTAGCAACTACACTTTAGGTTTCCAATCTGCCAGCCTGGTCTACAAATTTTAGACTGAAGGCTGCAACATTATGACTTTCCAGCCTGCCAGCCTGCCGAAGTGTAACTTGTGACATCAATAACGTAAAATGAGGGGTGGGAAAAGATGTAAAGAAGCAGAGTTTCATATTGGTTTCAATTGAAGATTGTTATAACTGTATTGTTATATCTAATGCCACAGTAATCACAAAGAAATATACATAAAATATACACAAAAGAAAATGAGAAGGCAGTTAAAACATATCACTAGAAAAAAATCGATTAAATGAAAAATGACTAAAAACAAAAGAAGGTTGGAATGAAGGAGATGAGGGACAAAACAGCTATAAGACATGCATAAAACCAACATCACAATTACAGAAGTAAATCCTTCCTTATCAGTAATTACTTTAAATGTAAATGTAAATGGATTAAACTCCCCAATCAGAATTCAGAGATTATCACAATGGATAGAATAAAAAGAATCTGGCTGGGCACGGTGGCTCACACTTGTAATCCCAGCACTTTGGGAGGCTGTGGCAGGCAGATCACGAGGTCAGGAGTTCAAGACCAGCCTGGCCAACATGATGAAACCCCGTCTCTAATAAAAATAGAAAAAAATTAGCTGGGTGTAGTGGCAGGTACCTGTAATCTCAGTTACAAGGGAGTCTAAGGCAGGAGAATTGCTGGAACCAGGGAGGCAGAGGTTTCAGTGAGCCAAGATCGTACCACTGCACTCCAGCCTGGGCAACAGAGTGAGACTCCGTCTCAAAAAAAAAAAAAAAAAAAAAAAAAGATTCTCACTTTGGATCTAATGACACACAAAAGTTGAAATTGGAAGGATAGAGAAGGATATTCATGAAAATAGTAACTAAGAATTTTTAATGATCTCTTATAGGGTTCTATGTGTTGGCTGGGCTCAGATGATGGCCTGGAAGTGTTACATGGTCCAGGGATTGAAATGGAAGGAACCAGATGCAGGCAGGCTGGTTAACAGCAGTGCCCAGACTGACACAGCCACACTTCTGCCATATTTTATTGGGTAACGCAGATATCAGATCTGCTTATGTTTAAGGAGTGGAGAGACCTTACCTCTTGATGAGGGAGTGGTGGGTCAAACTAAAGAAAAGCAACTGCGATGGAAGATATTTAGATATTTTTGTAGCCGTCTTTGGAAAATACATGCAATCCAAAACATCCTATCTGCCAAAAAGGAAGAACACCATCACGCCTTACCCCTCCAGTCTAAGCCCTGTGATTCTATAGTATCCTGGGGAAGGATCATGTCTTAGGAAGCAGGTGGGGAGTCGAAGCTCTAAATAAAGCCCCATCTACAGCCACAATTTCACTTTATTTTGATGAAATTTTGTGTCATTTTCGATAAAAAGGGGTCTCACGAATCTCTCTTCAGGGATCTCTCCAGTGGCGGGGATGATATGCTTCCTTCTCCACAGTTCTACTTTATAGGTAAGTGGAACTAGATCTCAGTTTCAGTTATTTTAAACACCAGAGACTTGGATGCATGCATGTCACAAAAAGGTGAAAAAATGCTCTGTCACTTTCCCTTCTCTCACTCACTGCACCCTGAACAAGAACCTGCTCTACCCTGACCCTTTGAATGGGGAGGAGGGTCACACTCCTGCCTAACCTTCAAGTTTCCAGAGATAAACCTGCTGCCCAAACAGCATGGTTCATTATAAAGACCAAACCCTACACCAAGAGCTCTCCCCTTATCCATCATGGCAGAAACTGAATCCCATGGAAGGGCCGAGAAAATTCAGGCTCAAAAGGACCAGCGTCATGTCCCTTCCACCAAAATGAAGCCAACATATTCATCACAATATGGGGTATTGATAAGGATATCAAAATGATTACCAAAAAAATTTGACAAATAAGTTCTTTTTATTACATCAACTTTTTTTGTCCTCCAAATATAAAGAAAATAAGCCTGCACAGCAGGAGAAGTTGTTCCCCTGGGAAAGCATCCTCTTTCCAGTTGAAAGGCTGGTACCGGAATCACTAGAATGGAGCAAGGCTTTCTGGTATGACACAGCACCGGGTCTTGGGGTAGCCAGAGTCAGGGAGGGCTCACCCTCTGGGTGACACCAACCTTTGGCTCTCCTTTTTTTTGTTCTCATTGCAAGAACAAAATTTCAGAGTATCAAGAGCCAAAGAGATTTACTCTATTTTATTCTTTAGAAAATGCAATCTCAAGGATAATCAGACTGTTATGGGCTAAATTGTATCCCCCAAAACTGGCATGTTGATGTCCTAACCCCCAGTACCTGAGAAAGTGACTGCATATGGAGAGGTCTTTAAGGAGGTCATTAAGGTAAAATGAGGTCATATGAGTGTGCCCTAATTCAATGTGACTAGTGTCTTTATAAAAAGAGAAGATTAGACACAGACACATACAGAGGAATGACCATGTGAAGACATAGAGAGAACACATTTGCCAGCCAAGGAAAGAAGGCTTAGAAGAAATCAGCACTGCCAACACCATGATGTTGAACTTCCAGCCTCCAGAACTGTGAGACAATGAATTTCTGTTGTTTAAGTCACCCAGTGTGTGGTACTTTGTTATGGCAGCTCTAGCAAATTAGAGCAAACATATTATACTGCCCACTGGAGAGTTTTACCTGACTCCACTCTGGCTCCAATTCGATCAAGGTCTATATGCTCTGGGACCTCTCCAGCGCCTCATGAGAAATGACAAAGAATGTCATGTCCAGCTCCTGGGGTCCCTGATGGCAGTAAGAGGCAGCTCCTAATGGGGGAAGCTTTGAGGTGACCAAGGCCTCATAGGCTTCATCACTGTTGGGCCACTTGGCTTCAGTGCCTTCACCACAATGGATCCATGGGCCTGGATTCACCTCTGACATTCGTGTCTTTTTTTTCTTGGACTTCCACAAGTGGTCTCTGGTAGAGATGGAGGGAAAGGACACAGGGATTCAAAATCCTGACTACCCTGGTGGCCTCCCCTCACTTCCACTCAGAGACAACACGGCCATTTCTCTAAACTCCTGAGGACATGGCCAACATAAGTAATGGAGCACGGGGAGGTGCCTTGAACAGAGCTCCATGGAAGGGTGGCTGGTGCCCTCTAGACCCTTTGTCTATACGTGCTGGGCTTCTTTAGTATGAAATGTCCCAGAGACAGCCACATTCTATGCTTGGATCCTCAAACCAAAGTGTGTGAGGGTCTTAGCCCTGGCCAAATGAGCACTGAATTCAAGAGAGACCAGGAAACCTTCTGAATATTGGGACACTTTACTCCTGAATCCTGAATCCTGGAAGTTGGCTTCTGGCCAGGGAGGCAGGTGTCATCATATCTGGGCTGCCTCTGTGAGGCCTCTTTTCCCTCGGCCTTTCACATCTTTCTACCCCCATTAATCCCAGAACAGATAGAAACATTCTGCCTTCTTAGATGCCTCTTGCTACAAATTTCAATGCCATTTGATTGAATTAATAAATGAAAGCAACTTTAATACAAGATGAGGTTTAAAGAATGGTATTTGACATGGGTTTAGAATGAATAAATGGATCAAGTAATGAATTTTGAGAAAATTCATGTAAAATTTATTTTTAACCATTTTATTAACTTGACTGTGGAATTAATAAATGATTCCAAATTAATACAAAAAAGTGCAATCACAAATGTATGAATGCACAGAAGTGTGAATGAGGGGTAATGCACACAAGAGAAAAGGTGTTCACAGGAAGAAATTCTTCATTCCAGGTTTTTTTTTCTGTTTTTTATTTTTTAGTTTTATCTTTATTTTTTTATTTTTTATTATACTTTAAGTTTTAGGGTACATGTGCACATTGTGCTGATCCCTCTGGTCAAGATGGGCTAAAAGTCCAAAAATCTGCTTTCCTCACATGGTCAAATGATTCAGCAGAAAATACAACTGACTGAACACAATTATCAAGGCTTTAAATATATTAGAAAAAAATCAATAAGGAAAAATAATCCTACCATCACTAAGATTTTAAGTTATAATAAAATAAAGCCTAGAAATGTATCATTTGTTCCCAATTCCAATGATTATAGGATTGCAGCGTTTGGCTTTCAAAAGACCATTTAAAACAACTCAGGGAAGTTTTCTTAACAAACTGTATAGCAGGACCACAGCTAAACCTATGAGTAGTAGTACAAGTAAACAATGACACTGTCTTTAAAATTTCATTTTGAAAAACATGTTTGAAAGTGGCTGACTGGCTCCTAATTTAACTACTACCATTTGAAGTCATATGTTAGATTGGCAAAGTCGTCGTAATTTTTATGTATTTTATTTTTGTAATGCAAGTGCTTCACTCTGCTATCTGATAAAAGAAAATATCAAGCCAGGCATGGTGATGCATGCCTTGTAGTCCCAGCTACTCAAGAGCCTGAGGCAGGAGGTTCCTTCAGCCCAGGAGTTCAAGGCTGCAGCAAGCTATGATGGTGCCACTGCACTCCAGCCTGGGCAACAGAGAATACAATTTTAATGTAAAATTTTAGTGTTAGGAGTTCAAACTTGAACTGATTCTGTGAGATCCTATTTGAGAGAAGCTGTTGTGTACAATGAAGTTTGGGGAATATCAACAAGAAGTAAATGCCTACCTTGTTTCTAGTTTACAAACTAAAAGGAAATTCCATAAACTTTTAATGCTAAGCTAAATCATTGTAGAATGAATGACAAAAAAATTATCCTACAAAACATAACCAGTTGCTAGATACATTTGAACATTAATTAGAAAAAAGATGAATGAAAGACATGTTTTAGGAATAAAAACTACAAAAGAACTGTAAAAGCTTATCACGCCCTTGGCTGGAGTTACGCAAAGTTACTACTCACCCGTAAATTGGGATTAGCATGGTGGCTACTTCTTAAAGTTGATACAAGGATTAAATGTGTTTTAATGCATCAAAAGCATCTAGAAAAGTGCCTGAGACATAGTAAGTGCTAAAGTCTCTCTAAGTAAATAAAAAATATATAAAAGTGATGCTAAATTCAAGATTCTGATCCTCTGTACACACCCAATGTGTTTAAAATTCTGTTCATCTTCCCTTCCACATTCACAGTGAAATGTTTCTGATTAACAGGCTGTGTGAGGTGTTCATCATCTTTTACATTAAACTTGGTACATTGTACAACACTCTTATATTGTGATAATTTACCAAGCTAACACAGGCTTACCTTGTTTTTAATCCTTTTCACACACAGCATAGAATTATATTGCTATATTTTTAAATTTCAGATGATTTGAAAAATATTTACACTATAGTAGCCAAACAGTAATAATTATAAGCAACTTGGATAAAACATTTGAAATTAGAGAACTATATTTAGAATAAATTTCTCACCTTACAGAAAAATTTCCCATTGAAAACCCCTTTATTTCTCATACAAATAAGAATTCAGCATGTTTTTCTATACCCAGAGAGAACAGAGATAAACAGGGTCCTTTTGTGTGGTTTGGGTATTTTATTAGATGCTGAGTTCAAGAAAGTCTCACCCCTGAAGAAGCTGAAATTCCATTTTTCTTCGAAATGGGGTCTTTTCAAAGTTAGTAACAATGAAGCTGTCATTCACACGATGCATGGCTGAACAAAAAGACAGAGACAGCGGGTGCTGCATTTTGTTTTTGTAATGTTGCCTTGTCCACAAGACACTATTTACACTTAAATCAATTAAAATTATATTAATTTTAAAAGTCAGTTTTCCCAGTTTCTCATTTGTACTAGCCACATTCCAAATACTCAGAATTCATGGGTGGCCGGTGACTGACGTAATGAACAGCACAGATATAGGCATTCCATCACTACAGAAGGGAGCTGGACAGCAGTGTGCCAATGTTTTAAGGACAGAATCCTGAGTAGAATTATAGGATGATGACAATTCCGAGTTCCCATTCCAATTCATGGTCTCTTCTCTGATGAGTGGTGTAGGGGGAAATCCATCCCTTTTGTGAGTAAAGGTTAATTTTTCCAACTACAGATAAATAATTAACATTACTTTTTTTAAAACCAGTTTTACACTGTTAAGTTACAACCAAAAGTGAAGGGCTTGAATTACATTTACATTTTAACACATGGTTTTAAAGGGAAGATCCGTGTGAAAAAGAAACAAAACTCAGAAAAAAAACCCAGAAGTTTTCATACCAATTCCCATAGCAATAACAATCCCTTTTCTGTCGTTAGAGTTCACCCTCATTCTGATTTCATAGTAATCCTGTTCATGTCTTTCTTTAAAGCTTTACCCCATGCATATATTTCTAAAACAACACAGGTTATCTCAAACTTTATATAAATTTTGAATTTTTCATACAAATGGAATCATGCTGTGTATATTCTTACAAGACCTCATTTTAGATCAAATGTATGTTTGCTAAGTTTTTATAGGTGTCTGTAGAGTATTCATGTTTATTATTTGTAACATTTCATTGAATAAATACATCATATATTAAATTAACCCTTCTCTCGTTTATGGTCATTTCATTTGTTGTCAGATTTTTTAAAATTACAAGCAATGCTGTTACAAGCCTTCTAGCACTAGTCTGTTGGCACAATGGGCACATATCTGTCAAAATTATACACCTAGGAGTGGAGTTACTGGTATATGTGTATGATATCCCACTCAAAGAGATGATGCCACACTGCTAGATAAAGTGGCTGTGGCAAGCAATGTGTGGTAGATCTTGATGGTCTGTATTCTCATCAGTGTTTGGAAAACTCAATAATTTTAATATAGAAATTCTAGTGCATTTTTCAAAATATCTCATTATGTTTTCCTCATTAAACTTTATTGAGATATAAATCACATACTACTCACACATCTAAAGTATACAATTCAATGGTTTTTCACATATTCAGAGTTTTAAATCTGCATATTTAATTTTAGAACATTTTCATCATCCCAAGATAATCCACGGCTTTATAATATGTCTCTCTATACAATGAAGTAAATCCATAAATTTTGAGTTTTCACTTCAGGAGTGTTTTTTCTATCATTGGCAACTTTCCTAGCTTGACAGGCACCTTTCCAAGTACCTTTAACAATTTTATTTTTAATAGAGATTTCATTCAGTAATCAGATTTGGAGAGCACTGACAAATTTTGCCACATTGAGACTTATAATCCATGAACATGTAATGTTTACTTATTAAATACTCTTAAATAAAGTATTGCTGGTTTTACTTGTGCATCTTTTAGTAGATTTATTCCAAAGATCTTGAAATATGGTGCTAGTGTTCACAGTATCTCTTTCTTTGTTGAATTTCAGTGTTGGTTGTGGTATGTATAAATATAAATAATTTTATATAGTTTTAATTCAATGACTTTGCTTAAAGCTTTTATTAATTCATGTAGTTGATATATTCTGTTGCCTGATTGCACTAGCTAGGAAATCCAGTGTGATTTTGAGTGCAATGGAGAGGGCAGGTCTGCTGATATCTTCTCTGTGCACTCCTGATCCACGCTCCATGTACTCTCCCTGCTCCGTGTCCTGGACACTGTGCTGCATGGCCTGCTGGACCACAAAAGGCAGCCTTGCTTTCTGGCTTTTATTTGGGATCGGCTAAATGGGAGCATCATCACGGAGAGAGTGATGAGGAGCACTGGTTGGAGGGATTTCTCCCCTTAGCTTTCAGTATTGACATAGGGAGAAATGAGATGTGATTGGCCTGGATTCATCAATATGGGATCTTCACCCAGTATCTTAGATTAAATGTGTTATTTTGAACACCTAAGAGTGATGTTAATAGTCAGCCAGGTTAGCTAATTAAAACCCGAATTCAACTGTGGCCTAGCACAGTGTTTCTCAAATTTGACTGCGCTTTCCATCACGTGGGAGATTTTAAATAGCCCCAGGTCTAGATCAACATGTAAAACCAATGAAATCTAATTCATCAAAAGTAGGATCCTGGAAACAGTATTGTTCCTAAAACTCTCCAGGTTTGACTCCAATCAACAGCCAAGTTAAAAACTAGTAGCTCAAAGCAGTGGTTCTCAATATTTGGTATGTATCAAAATCATCTGGGAATTGTAGCAAAACTACACAGGCCCAGATATTATTCTAATTTAACAGGCTAGAGCCTTGAGTTTATTAAAACAAATCATCTCTCCAGATTTTGCTATATGCAACAGTTTGTGAAAACCACTAGCCTATATCAACAGAATCCCTATCACAGGCATACTGCAGAGGAAAGTGTCTGAACACAGCTCAGAGAGACAGAAAAGTGGGAATGTATCCATTATGTGCAACCTACTTAACATCTCCTAACCACATCTCCCGGGAGGGCTGAGAGGATGCCCCCCTTACCAAGGCATTAAGGTGCCACGTGACACATACAGGTATAAAAACTGCTAGGTCTGCTGAGCAGTCACCAACCTTGAGTCCTGGATATTCAGAAATTCTTATCCGGTAGCTACACCAAAGCCAGCTGATATGTCAGAGCCCCTCAAATAAGCAGAAGGCTGGTGCCCTTGAGAAAGGACCCTATAATTCACTCCGAGATAAATTCTTTTTACAGGACTTTCCCAGAGGAACATTTAGTCATTTATCGCTGTCCACTGGGGAATGGAAAACCCCAAATAATCTGGGAGCTCAACTTTAATGTCTTTAATCCTGTCAAAGATTACCCTGGGGTTAATACTTTGTTGTAACCTGCATAAAATCTTTCCCTACACTAAAGTAATGAAGATATTCTACTATATTACTGTAAAGAGATGAGTACAATCACATTTTTTTACAAGAGATGAGTACAATTGCATTTTTCCAGATAGATAACCAATTGTTGTTAAATTATTTTCTAAATCGTTTTCCTTTACCCACTGATCTGTAATGTTGCCTCTGCTCTACATACGTTCAGGGCTTTCTATTCTGTTCCCAAGTTCTAGTTTACTACCCTGTCTCAACATCTCGACTCTCTTAATTAAAATAACTCTAACATAAGTCTTAATATCTGCTAAGGAAATTCTCTCTGCTTATTATTCTTATTTAGAGTGTCATAGCTACTTTTTCTCTTTCATATTTCAATATAAGGCTTAAAATTGGCTTACTATGTGTTGCAAAAATGCTTGATAAACATTTGATTGAGATGTGTTTGAGTTCTTAAGAGTCCTGTAGGAAATTAATGTCATTATTATATTGAACCATCCAAGCCAGGATCCTGGTAAATTGATTCAGTTAATTCACTGTCTTCTTTAATTACTGTCTTCTATTATTACTCAGTAGGGTTTTTTAAATATCCCAATTGATATCTTGTACAGAATTTGTTAGGTTTAGTTTTAGAAGTTTATATGTACGCACTTTTGCTGAATCAATTTTTTTAAATTTTCATTTTATATCTGTGCAAAACAGCTCTATAATTTCTTCTACCTACCAAGCAAAAATATCTTATTAACTTCTGGATCACGAGGTCAGGAGATCAAGACCATCCTGGCTAACATGGTGAAACCCCATCTCTACTAAAAATACAAAAAATTAGCCGGGCATGGTGGCGGGCGCCTGTAATCCCAGCTACTCGGGAGGCTGAGGCAGGAGAATGGCCTAGGTAAATCTGGGAGGCGGAGCTTGCAGTGAGCCGAGATCTCGCCACTGCACTCCAGCCTGGGCGACAGAGCGAGACTCCGTCTCAAAAAAAAAAAAAAAAAATATATATATATATATATATATATATATATTTATATATATATGCATCTTATTAACTTCAAGAGTGTTCTAATCATTTGTATTTTCTGCATTCAGCATATTACCATTTGCAAATTATAAGAGTTTTGTGCCTTCTTTTCAAACCTTTTTAAGTGTATTTCTTTTCTTCTTTATGACACTGGGAAGATCCTCAATTACAATTTTTAATAAGAGCAGTGAAAACTGCTGGACCACTCAAACAAAAATTGAGCTGCCACTCCTGAGAACTGACTGTGTTGCTCTTATGGGTCAGCCCTTTGGGACCCATCCTAATCCCAGGGATTTACAGTGCCACATATGCACCCGCAGCCTTTAGATGTAGGCTTTATCCACCTAGCCCTCAAAGGTCTCAGACACTGCCCAGAGCAGCCAACATCACCCAGGACAAAAGCAACCCTGCAGCTCAACTTGCTCTTCTAGATTTCTGCCTTCTCCTGGTTCCTGGCCTGGCAAATCTTTACTGCTTGGTTAGCCCCTTCATACTTTCCATCAGATTTTTCAAATATGTACCCTTTTCCCACTTGTCCAGTAGTACTCAATGGGAGGGATGATCCAAATTACATAATTAATAATTGCTGAAAACTAAAGTACAATGTACAATTTTTATGTCAATGTCACATGCCAAGGGAGAAAATGCATAGGTATCAGTAGTGACTACTTAAGCATGTGTAACTTAGAGGTAATAAAAACAAAAATGTTAGGTAATATCTATCTATTCCAGATTAAAATCTATATCAATAAATTCAAACTTCTAGGAAAAATATCTGCATATGTAATATATGACTGTGACTCCGATAGACGAACGTGGGAATATAGTATGAAGATACTTCTCATCGTCTTCACTCTGTGAGGCAGTCAGTGTGAAATGAGAACCAGGGATTCAAAATGTGTTGCAAGACTATGAAAAGCACTAGAGTAAGTTCTACACAAATAAAGCAATCTCCTCATAAATTACACTGGGCTTATCTGTGAGATGCATGTCCTTATCAAAATGGAGTTAATTCTAGGTAGGTGATCTTGTTTAAATAAAATGGACTCTGACTCACTAGCTACTGGTCCACCATCGGTTTTTCCCTTTACTAAAAGGGAGGCCCCACACTGAGCCAGCATTTCCCAAGAGGAGGTCTCTTGCTGACATCAACTTCCAACAGGGTAAATTTTCATGGGAACCCAAAGAGAAGAGGAAGACCTCAAGAAAAAGGGCCTAAAGAAATGACAAGAATGATAACATTTTACACTTTTATTGTGCTATGTGTCAAATAGTGGTCTTCGCACTTTAAAAATGCCAATTCATTTTATTCTGACTACACATCCATGGCTTGTGCCTGTTATTTTTCCCTTTCATAGTTAATACCATAGGAATGAAGATCACACAAAAGTAGGGATGGAGCCGGGTTTGCACCCAGACAATTCTGCCCCAGGGCCATGCTCACACCACTGCACTTTTCCAGAATGTGAGGGTGGGCGGAGAGTCCAGCTCAGGGAGAGAGATTGGAGTGAGAGAAGAAGGAGAGGGGGCCGACTGGATCACTGTGATGGTCTGGACCCACGATTCCAGGAGAGAAAGACAAGGATTATGTCACTCAGGGAAAATATCCAAAGTCTCTGGTTTAAACTTAAGCATCTCCAGCTCTAGGACAGGTGGCTGGTGGGAAGACAAACTAAGCCAAAGCCACAGCTCTGAAAAATTCCCTCTCCTGAGAATTCTGCAGGGGTTTCCCTGACCTCATGGCCACCTCTCACCCTTGGCTCTTGTTTTTCCCCCAGGACTGATAAGGGCGTCCAGATGGGACGCCTTTATCAGTTGGTCTCGGGTTCTAGAGAAGCCATCAGAGTCAGTGGAGGATGAGCTTCATAAAGTGGGAGATCTCCAGGATCCTTCCTGGACTCCAAGATACCCAGAGAAGCCGGATCCTGTGTCCCGGAACCCCCTTCCTGTTCCTCTGTGGGCCCTGACCTTGGGGAGAACTGGGCTGGTGAGAAGATCAGGATGAACTGGGCTGGGGAGGCAAGAGGGAAAGGGCGGCTTGGAGGGCTTAGTAGCTCCTCTCGCGGCGCCTCCGCCCCGGGCTGGGATCTGCAGACTCCTCAGGTCACTTCTCCCAGAGCCGCCGTCCCAAGCCACCCTCCCCTGGTTCCCGTCCCTCTGTCCCCTCCCCAGCTCCCCCCACACAGTAAGAAGCTCCCAAGTGAGCGGCTCCGGTGCCTGGCGGGACGTGGGAGGGAGGCTGTGTCCCCGCGGGGAGGCAGGGCGACGGCGTCCAGGAGAGAGGGGAGCGGGGCGGGGTCCCAGGCACCCTGCGCCTCTCCCGCCCGCAATGTGTAGGTTCCCGGAGCCCAGGCCCGCACCCCGGGTACTTGAAGGCCGCCGGGCTCCGCCTTCACCACGTGGGCCCTGAGTTCCTCAGCGGCGCCTTCGTGGGCGACACGCGATTCCTGAGCTTCCACAGCCGCGGCGAGAATCAGAGCGTGAAGTGCGGGTGGAGAAGATGGCACAGAGCTGTGGGCGCCCTGAGGAAAGTTCTCGAAGACCGCAGGGAATGTGTTACTGAGGGGCCTGAGGTTCCTGGGCCCGCACCACCACCAGGGTCAGCCGGTGAGTGACCTCAGACTCCGGGCACAGGTGTGCCCCGCCCCGACCCAGAGTGACCAGCCCGGTTCTCCCAGGGATGGGGGGGCGGGGCCTCAGCTGATCCCTCTCAGGTGGGGAAGCGCTGGGGCCATTTTGCTCCAGGTTTCTCCTTCAATCTGGATCATGACTGACTTGTTCTGTGACCAATGACAGAGGGAGGAAGGAGCTGGGGTGGGCGGGGCGACCTCCCTCCCCTCCCTGGCCCCGCCTCCGGCTCACCCTGGGGCAGGTCCAGGGCACCGCACCTGCAGATGCTGCTGCCTGGCTGGGTGGTGGCTCCGGACAGGAGCTTCCTCGAAGGACACTTTAAGTCCGCCTACGACAAGGAGATTTCATGTCCCTGAACGAGGACCTGCAGACCTGGACAGCGGCTCAAAGAGCGGCTTGGAGGATCCATCACACCTGGGAGAGGTTCTGGACCGCGTAGGCCACAAGGGAAGCCCCGATGGGTCACTGCACTAGGTGGCTGCTCAGACACCTGGAGCATGGCAAGGAGATGATGCTGCCGGCAGGTACTGGGGTCCTCCAGGCCCCACGTCAGGACCTCTTGGAGCTGGAATTATGTTCCTTGGAGGCATCCATATTTGAGGAAAGAGGAGACCGAACAGTCTCCGTCTCCTCCTCCTCCTCCTCCTTCTCCTCCTCCGTCGCCGCCTCCTCCTCCTCCTCCCTACTGCGGGGTTGGGGATTCTGGCCCAGGCTCCTGAGGCTCTCCCATGGGTGGGTGGGGAGGGAGGACAGAGAAGAAGGAGTGCAGGGAGGTAAATAGGAAAGGACAGTAGTTACCCTTGTCAACAGTGAGGTACTTGGGTCTAGCTTCACCGGGAATCTTTTTCTTTCCTGGCCCTCTGTGCCCAACAATTACATATAATCTTTAACGCAACCAGAAGATAAAACACCAGGAAACGGAATCGGCAGAGACACAGTAGATGAAAGTACCACGAAGGACTGCTAGGTTCTAATAGAAAGTAGCAGATGTGAGTATCAAAAGTTATAAACCTTTTTGCAAATCAGAAAAGAAACAGACTTTTTTTTTTTTTTTTTTGAGACGGAGTCTCTCTCTGTCACCCAGGCTGGAGTGCAGTGGCGCGATCTCAGCTCACTGCAAGCTCCGCCTCCCAGGTTCACGCCATTCTCCTGCCTCAGCCTCCCGAGTAGCTGGGACTACAGGCGCCCGCCACTACGCCCGGCTAATTTTTTGTATTTTTAGTAGAGACGGGGTTTCACTGTGTTAGCCAGGATGGTCTCGATCTCCTTGACCTCATGATCCGCCCGCCTCGGCCTGCCAGAGTGCTGGGATTACAGGCGTGAGCCACCGCGCCCGGCCGAAAAAGACATTTTAAGACTGAAAAGTGGTATCACCAATGTTAGAACCAAAAAATTGGACCTGAGGGTGCATCACCCGAGGGGGTTAAGTTAAACTCTGTCCCTGTTCCTTCTAGAGCCCCGTGGAGATTCCTGCTGTGCAGCAAAGCCTGGGAGGGGCCCTGGCTGTGGAAGGCAGGCTGAGACGTCATAGGTGAGATAGGAGGAAGGGGACCTGCTGGACTCCCGGGGACCTGCTGGACTCCCGGAGGCCTGGTACCCAGGGAAGGCCAGTTCCTAGGGCTGCCTCTGGACTTCAGAACCTTGATGTTAAGTCAGATTTTCCCGCTCCTCCATGAGCTTCCAGGAGCAGGGCCACATGGGGCTCAGAAAGTCCCACAGTGCCTAGGAAGTGGGTCTGTCTCTTGTGGGACAAAAATTCTCAGGTCTTTCTCTTTCAGATTCTTAAATTTCTTAAAAGAGATTGAACTGGAATTACCCAGGCCCCAAACTGAATCAAGGAATTGGGACTGTGTAATGTGCGTGTGTCTGTCTGTGCACATGTGGATGTATAAACAGGTATGGGCATCTATGTGTATGTGCGTGTTTATAAGTGCGTATATGTATGTATCTGTACATATTTATGTATATAAGCAGGTATGGGTATGTATGTGTGTATGTGTGTGTGTTACTCTGTGACTTCCTCATACTTGGCACCACCCTGGCCTTTTCCTGGTTGCCCCCCACACCATAGGTTGTAAGGGACAGAACAGCGCTCCACCTGCAGACATAGAACGGGGGTCAGGATAAGTGTTGGGGAGAGCTGGTTTCATCACACCTGGAATAAGGAAACAGGACCTAAATGGATGGGTCCCACTCTTTTACAGAATTGTACCTTAAAAAAAGTGTCAGTCACGTTCCTAAGGGATTTACATGAATTAAATCATTTAAACCTCACAAGAGCCCTATGACCTAGAGACAGCTATCAGCCCCATTTTACAGACAAGGAAACTGAGGTCACTAGGAAGTTTAGTAACTGTCAGTGGGCTGACTCATGACTCTAAGGAGACAGTCTGACTGCTGAGCCCAAGTAACTGCTCTGTCATACTCACCCTCACACCCACCTACTACTGGCTCCCTGTGGGTCACCTCCTCCTGTGGGCTCTGACCAGCTTCCCTTTCTTCTCCAGGCACAGAGACTGGACTGAAGTCTATTGCATTTGCCACAGTCCCGACTGGGGAGTCATGGGGTTGAAGTGACCCATAGGCTGATGGAGTGTGCTTGCTGGATGCGGGGGAAAGGGAGATTTATATCTGCCCTGGAGGGAGTCAATGGTGTTTGCATCATGGCATATGAGGTGCACTATCTAGAATGCTGAAGGGTAAAGACCAGCAGGGGCCATGCAGAGTCTATTCATCACGGTTTTATTTCACAGCCTGCATGGGCCTGAGAGTGGTGGGGTGTTCACTCATCTCCATCCAATCCCTACTGGTTCCTGACCTCTCTTCTTCCAACTGGTAATACCTGCACTCAAGGTTGAACCATGAGGAGGAGTCTACCCACACCCCACACTTCCTCCTCTCTGCCTGCCACTCCCTAGTGGGGCCTCCTGGATGGTGTGAGAGGAGAGTGACGGAGATAGTAAGAGAACTTGACATTCACACTGGTAAAGAGAAAGTGGGATGTCAACCTATGAGAAAGATAAGGGCTGCCACAGGGAAGGGGATGAGATAAGTTCTAACTGGCCCCAAGGGTCGCTTAACTCAGTGAAAGCTGTGGGAGGTGTTTTCAGCTATCCATTGCTATGTAAGAAATTGCCACAAACTTAGCAGCTTACAACAACACACATGTATTATCCCACATTTCTATGGGTCAGGAATCCAGACACAGCTATGCAGCTTTCTCACATGATTTTCATCAGAGTGCCATGGCTGGGTCTTATCTGGAGGCTGAACTGGGGAAGGATCCACTTCCAAGCTCAAGCAATTGTTGGCAGGATTCATTCCTCCATGCCTGTTAGACTGACAGCCTCAGTTCCTTACTGGCTGGTGGCCAGAGGCTGACTTCAGTTCCTTGCCACATGGGCCTTTCTGCTTCATCAAAACTTGCAAACAAAGAAGGTAGAAGACAGAGTCATCTAGTAATACAGAAGTGCGGCTGTAATATGACCTCATTACGGAAGTGACATCATTTTTGTCACTTTCTATTGGTTAGAAGCAAGTTTAGGCCCCATCGGTTCTCAGCTGGATGAGATGCCAAGAGACAGGATCACCGGGCATCATCTTAGGGTCTCTATACACAGGCTGGACCATGACTGAACAAGATCATTACAAACCCGGGTCCTGGACTGGGCCAGATGATCTGCAGAGCTGAGCTGTGTTTATGAAATCGAATCCCTGGAAACAAAAATCAAGAGACGCCCACTGGAAAGGCTGGTCTTGCATTCTGTGTGAAAGCTAAGATGGCGTTCTCTCCAAATGTTTTTCTCTATTACTTTTCAAACCTCCTGCATCTGTAAAGAAGCAACACCACTAAACCTATCTGGTTTTTTTTTCATTCGAGTGTCATACTGTTAGGCAAATCTTCTGCTTTCACTATTTCTTCAAGCTTGTTTTCATGCAGAATCCCACGAACTTCTGGTAATTACACTTTATTGATTTCTTTTCCTTCACTCAGTTTATTTTTTAGTGATTTTATTTCTCTTGTATGGATAAATTAGTCCATTTAATTAGGGAATTTGTGTCTTCTAAAGAAATATTTCTACTATTTTTTGGACCATATGGGCTAAGATCCTCTTGCCAAGCCTCAGCTCACTTCCCACATGGACACGACAAAATTACTGGGGGTCCTGGAAAGTCGGGGATTGGCATAGTTCTTAAGCAGGATCAGACATGTAAGTCACAAAGATATGAGGCAGATACCTTTGATTTCCTTATGACCCTGATGACAGCATACCTGGCACTCAATACCTGTCTGTAGAGGTGAACTCAACTAAACTCCTCCCTGATCACTCAATACCATGTGAGCCCAAGGACCTCTTATGTCATGGGCCAAATTCCCTTGTTTTATGCCATTTTTCCAGATGGGGTGCTGTTCACATGGGGACGTTTCTCCTTTTCCACCTCATTTTCCATGTGTGAAACACTGGGTCTTGATTACTCAGATCTCTCAGGGTCCTTTCTACCTTTTCCTCCATCCTAACATTCTCCCTACAGTTCCCGCCAGGGTTTCCCCGAACCTCTTCTTCTCCATGTATTCAGTCTAGCATCTCTCAGTTCATTCTTCACACTTCACCAAAGTGATATTCTGGAATGCAGATCTGATCAAGGTTCTTCCTGACTTCAGTGCTGCCAGTGCTGCACATTGTCCTCGGATAAAAGCCAAAGGTTCTCCCCAACCCCACAAGCCTTAGTCATTGAATCTGCTCACTGCTCCAAGCTTGCTTTTTGCCCCTGTGCTCCTCTTTTTCTAATCTCTACCCTGAACTGCTGACAGTTCCCCTAGACTCCCTGTGTGTTCTTTCTTCTGAGCCTTTGTTTGTGATACTGATTCCCTAAAAGATTTCTCCTGCCATTCACCTGGATTAACTGTGTTCCTCATCCAGTTCTCTGTTTAGACATTGCATCCTCTTGGAAGCAGTTTTCCCGCACTAATTATAGTAGCCTGCATTTAGCTGTTTTTTTAGTCCCCTTGTGGAATCTTTGATGTTTCACTCATTGAGGGCTAGGAGACCCTGACACATAGTAACTGCCTAATAAATGTTTGCTAAATAAATGTGGGGTTCACCATGAGATACCACGTTATACATGCAAGAATGGCATTAATTTGGCTGGGCGCGGTGGCTCAAGTCTGTAATCCCAGCACTTTGGGAGGCCAAAGCAGGCAGATCACGAGATCAGGAGATCGAAACCATCCTGGCTAACACGGTGAAACCCTGTCTCTACCAGAAATACAAAAAATTATCTGGGCATGGTGGCATGCACCTGTAGTCCCAGCTACTCGGGACGCTGAGGCAGGAGAATTGCTGGAACCTGGGAGGTGGAGGTTGCAGTGAACCAAGATCATACCACTGCACTCCAGCCTGGGAGACAGAGTGAGATTCTGTCTCAAAAAAAAAAAATGGCATTAATTAAAAAGTCAAAAAACAATAGATGTTGGCATGGATGGATTACACTGCTGGTTGTGAGAATGTAAATTAGTACAACTACTATGGAAAACAGTATGGAGATTCCTTAAAGAACTAAAACTAGATCTATCATTTGATCCAGCAATCCCACTACTGGGTATCTACCCAAAGGAAAATAAGTCATTATATGAAAAAGACACATGCACACGCATGTTTATAGCAACACAATTCATAATTGCAGGGATGTGGAACCAGCCTAAGTGCTCATTGACCAACCAGTGGCTAAAGAAAGTGTGGTGTATGTACACCATGGATTACTACTCAGCCATAAAAAGGAATGAAATAATGCCTTATGTAGCAACTTGGATGGAGCTGGAGGCCATTATCCTAAGTGGAGTAACTCAGGAATGGAAAAACCAAATACTGAATGTTCTCACTTATAAATGAGAGCTAAGCTATGAGGACACAAAAACATGCAAAATGACATAATGGACTCTAGGGGCTTCTTGGTGGAGGTTGGGAATAGGGTGAGGGATAAAAGTCAACACTGGGTAGAGTACACTGCTCGGGTGATGGTGCACCAAAATCTCAGAATTCACTACTAAAGAACTCACACACATAACCAAAAACTACCTGTCCCCCAAAAACTATTGAAATAAAAAAATTTTTTTAAATAAATGTGGGGTTGATTTGTAATTTAAAATTTATTTTGAATAGCTAATACAAGAACAATATTTAAAAGATTATAATAATAAAAATGTGTATAGTGTGCAACGCAAATTTCCTTCTCCACCCCATCCACAATTCTTCCAAATTCCTTGCCTGGATGCAACCACTGTTACCAGTTTCAGCAAGAAATTAAGACAGAAATTAAAGTTCTGCTCCTCATAATAATCACGATCAATTATCCCTGCTTATACAGTAACCCCTCCTTTTCCCAACAGCCTCTTAGCATGAGGAACCCAAATTGAACAGGTAACAAACATACCCCTAAACGTAATGTAACTTGTACTCTGTTCCATGGTAGGAACTTCCTTCTCTGGGATCCCAAACTCCTAGACCAGCTGAGTACGTTGAGGGGATGGGAAGCACCAACACCCCACGCAGGTTACCGGAAGTGCTGGTGAGTATAGTCATTCCTTCTTCCAGCACTGGTGGTTAGAGACTTACTCTACCTGTTGGAGACTTGGCACCATATAACAGCTGCTGGCGTAACCTTAGTGTATGCTTCATCCTGAAGGACATTACCCATCCTGATAGGATGTGATCTTCAAGATAAAACCCAGCTGCACCCTCAAGAGACCATTCCACTGCTCTATCAGCTCGCAGAGTGTGTGATGCAGTATGGGGTAGAACCAGGAGATCTCATGGTTATGTGCCCACTACCAGACATCCTTCGCTATAAAGTAGGTCCCTTAGTCTGGGGCAATGATATGTGGGTCCCCTATTAGAAGATCATACATATGTGAGCCCTTAGATAATGTTTCTGAGTGTGGCACTGTGGGAAGAAAGAACAAACTCATACCGCTAATACAAGGCAACCTAAATCTGACAGAACCCCTGCCTTTTTCATTGTGAAAAAGTAAGAATAGAATCAATTTGCCATCAAATTGCTCATTGGCTTCCATAAGCGAAGGTAATCTGTTGGAGTTTATTTATCGCTGGAAAGTAGATTGTGACAATAACCACGTCAGCCATGCTGAAGGCAGCCCAAGCCTTGGGACCCACCCACAGTGCATCTCTTCCACCATAGATAACTGCTTTCAAGAGCCTGTTTCATGAGCACTGGGATGGTTAAGGACAGAGGCTGGCTGATGTGTACCGAATGATTCATCCTGGACACCTGGTTGTTTAGACTACTTGTATAGAGGGTAATTTTTGCTGAGTAGTAACATCTGATACAAAAGATCCAAGCACTTTGTGTCTACTGTATGCCTCTTTCCAGATATTCCTGTTCCTGATCTTCCAATCTTGCTCCTTCCAGGCCCCTGACCTGCTATTTAAGCCACTTGCTGTTGCCTATAAGTCTGTGCATATTCTCACCTCAGGCCACTTCTGTCTACACAAAGTGGGTGAATCAGAGCCCCACCTGCCTATTGGCAGGACCCTCTTCAATGCTGTCTCTACTCATTCCTGAGTTGCCCACACTGCAGACACACTCTACTGCTGCCTCACACCAACACACTAAGCTGGCATGTTTATGAAGAAGCTCAGAATTTTCCTCTTAAGTCAGCTGGTCATAGAAACTACCCATAAGGTCATTGGTGAGAGTCGAGGTCAAGGCAAAGGTCCAGCAGTGCGAGGTGACATGGGGTCTGAGCAAGGTCTTTACGTAATTAACACCAGTACTCAGAACATACGTACTTTAACCCAGGGGTCAGCCAATGGTTTCAGTAAAGGCCCAGATGGTTTCCCTTTGCTGTGTGTGTGTTCATTCCCCTCTCCGAAGCTATGTGTAACCCCATAGAGATCACAGGGGTTCCCATCAACCACAGCCAGTTACATCCACAAAAACCTTGATCCTTGTTAGCAGATGGGAGAGGGTGGCTTGGAGGATTGAAATCCCTACTTCATGGGACTCTGGATACTTACACAGTTGCTTCCTTCTGTGTGTCTACATGAATCTCAGCACTGTGTTTGGGACACCATCTACACTCTTATTCTTCATGCAATTCTGTTTGCTCCTCAGATGGCCGCTTTTCCTTTGAAGCTCAACAGTAGCCATCACGTACTTGGGCTGAGGGTTACTGATTAACTCTGTGGGATTCTGGGATCAGTTCCTTCCCTTTCTTAGCCATCCCTGTGCTTTACAAAACTTAGCTTCACAATTATACTCATCTCTCCCTGTGTGCACCTCTAAGAAATTACTGATAAAACACGAGTTTTTTTGAAATTACAAAAATATATGCAAGAAAATGTTTATGGGGCCAATTGATCAGCACGGAAAAGCATAAACTTTCCTGTTTTCTGCCTCTCATTAGAATTTAATCCCCCAAAATTGAACTCATTCCAAACTTCTGGCTTAACTAGGAGTTGCTGTAGCCAGCCTATTCTAGACAGCATCCTGTAAGCCCCTGGGATTGGCAGACACAAGACACTTTTTCCATTCATATATGTGGTTCTGTTCTGGCCAGATCAGTGGACTTCCAGTGCCCTTCTTGAGTCATACTGAGGTAAATTACTCAGACCACGAACTCACATTTTTAAATAAATAAAATAGCAGCATAGTTAAGAATTTATTTATCCCATTACTGGGTATATATGCAAAGGATTATAAATCATTCTACTATAAAGACACATGCACACATATGTTCACTGCAGCACTATTTACAATAGCAAAGACTTGGAACCAATCCAAATGCCCATCAATGATAGACTGGACAAAGAAAATGTGGCACATACACACCATGGAATGTTATGCAGCCATAAAAAAGAATGAGTTAATGTCCTTTGCAGAGACATGGATGAAGCTGGAAACAATCGTTCTCAGCAAACTAACACAGAAACAGAAAACCAAACACCGCATGTTCTCACTTATAAGCAGGAGTTGAACAATGAGAACATGTGGACACAGGGAGGGAAACATCACATACCGGGGTCTGTCAGGGGATGGGGGCAAGGGGTGGGATAGCATTAGGAGAAATACCCAATGCATGCGGGGCTTAAAACCTAGATGACGGGTTGATGGATGCAGCAAACCACCATGGCACATGTGTACCTATGTAATGAACCTGTACATTCTGCACATATATCCCAGAACTTAAAAGTATAATTTAAAAAAAAGAATTTATTTCATTTGTATATGAAATTTTTTGGACATTTTTTAAACCTGCACTTTTCATAGTTTTTGATACATCCTTGCTCCAATAAATAATTTGCTAAAATTACTAAATCTCATAGATATACCAATGGTTTGCATCAGCTAATGGCATATTTGCTTGTCAAACTGAGGTCAGCCAGTCCCCCTTCATTCACTGTTAGTAACTCATGTGTTGCATTGTTAAAAACCCAGTATCACCTCATCTCCCCTCTAGCATCTTCTCTGCAGAGGAGAAGCCAGGCACTATATCTCCCAGGATCCCCTTCCCTGGATAGTTCCAGTTTACATTTTCCAGTGAGAGAGACTTGCATAAGAAATGGGGCCCTGGAGAGATGGCGGGACAGACCTGTACCCATCAGTGGTGGCTGCAGGTGGAGGAGCAGGCAGATGTCAGGTTCTCAGTGGCTTCCCTGCTAGGCTAGAGACCCACCTGCTTTGCTTGTGCGGACTAAGATGAGTGATAAGAGCTTCCTCATAGGTTCTGGAGAATATAGCAATCTCGCAGCAGGATTCTGAGAACCTCCCATCCATGCTTCAAGCTGAAGTCTTCAGTATATGCTTCCCTGACCTCCCTACTGCAGCTTCCAGGAGCTCCAATGGTGACTGGTATTATTATAGTATCCCACTGCTGCTATAACAAACTACCACAACTATGTGGCTTAAAACAACACCAATGTATTCTCTTATAGTTCTGGAGGTAAGAAGTCAAAAATGGGTCACTATGGGCTAAAATTAACATGTCGTCAGAGCTGCATTTCTTCTGAGGCTCTAAAGGAAAATCTGTTTCCTCGCCCTTTCTAGCTTCTTGGGGCTGCCCGCATTCTTTGGCTTGTGGTCTCTTCTTCCATCTTCCAAGTCAGCAGTCACATCACTTTGACCTCTGATTCTGTTATCACAGCTCTAACTCTGATGCTGCTTTCTACTCCTTTCACTTATAAGGACTATTGTGATTACATCGAACCTGCCCAGATAATCCAGGATAATCTTCCCATCTCAAGAGCCTCAGCTTAATCACATCTGAAAATTTCCTTTTGCCCTATTAGGAGACATTTTTATAAGTTCCAGGGATTAGGACACAGACATATTTAGGAGACCGTTATTCTGCCTGTCACATGACTTCACCAATATTTGCTACCCGTGGTTTCCAAACATTAGTGTATGCTCTTATTTCTATTTATTCCTGAAATACCAGAGTGAGTCTGTTTTTCTGAAAACAGCTCACTAATGCCCAGAGGAGCTCAAAAATTTTCTGTCTGTTGTCTCAAAGTCTCCAAATTGTACTGATTCTTCAATGTGCATGGCTGTAAATTAGGCAATAATCTTGCTGGGGTGTTGGAAGGAGAAGAAAGGGAATGATTAGACAGCCCTTCTGATTCGGGACAGAATCTGATTCGGGACACTGTCCCTGATGGCTGGCCATCTTGGGCTGTAATCCAGTTTCCCTCCCACGTAGACCCGGTCATTTCTGACTCCCCAAGAGGTTTTCACAGTATTCATGTCCACTTCCTTCATCAGTCATCTTCTTGTCTTATATCTCCATGTTTACATTTTTCTTCTCTTCTACCACTGCAGTTCTGCCTTGATTCTTCAGCCATTGCCTTCCTTTTGCATGCATGTGCTTCAGCCAGTTCTCTAGGAAGACATTCCAGACAGCTCATTATCACTTGTTACTATGTTTATTTGACTGCAGAGCTTTCAAGATTTGTAACTTTCTATTTTTTAAATTTTAGTGTAAAAATAATTCTTGCTCACAGTAGGAAATGAAACAATCAAAATATGCATAAATATACTTTTAAATCTCTCCTTTCACTAAATCCAAACCCACTTAACTAAGGTGATTACTATTGTATCAGCCTACTCTCTGCATGTCTACTTTCTTCACTTGCACGCAAACCATAGTGAGTGTTTTTATCTGGTAGCTTTTGTTGAGCTGTAATGACTATAAGTTTTATATGTAATTTAATCATTTTCAGGGCAACTTGAGATATAATTTAAATAGTATAAAATCCGCACATTCAAAATATACAATTCAGTGGCTTTTAGAATATTCACAGTTGTGCCTCCATTACCACAATCAATTACAGATCCTTTTATCTCCTCCCAGCCCTGCAGAAAAATCCATATCCAAACCCCAGCCCTAAGAAACTACCAACCTATGTTTTAACTCTACAGATTTACCTATTCTGAACATTTTATGTAATGAAATTATACAACATGTGGCTTTTTGTGTCTGTCTTCTTTTACTTACCAGAACATTTTCAAAGTTTGTGTGGGTCGTAGCTTGTATCAGTACTTCACATCTTTTTCATCGCTGAATTACATTCCATTGTATGGATATATCACAATTTATTTATTAGTTGGTGACATTTTGGTCCTTCTCATTTGGATTGTGATTAATAATGCTGCTATAAACATGGCATATAGGTTTTTATGTGAACTCATGTTTTCATTTCTCTTGGGTATACTGTATCATAGGAGGGGATTGCTGGGTCATGTAATAACTTAATGTTCACAAATTTGAGCTACTGCTAGCCTGCTTTCTAAAGGGGCTATGTCTCTTAAATCCCCACCAGCAAAGTGTGAGTATTCTAGTATCTCCACATTCTCATCAACACTAATTATTATCTTTTTAATTATAGCCATTCTAGTGGGTGGGAAATAGTATCTCATTTTTGGGTTGATGTGCATTTCCCTGATGGTTAATGATGTTGAACATGTTTCTATGTGCTTATGGGCCTTTTGTATATTATTTGTCTTATTATTATTATTATTATTATTTATTGTTTATTATTATCTTATTATTAATATTATTATATTGAGTTACAACCATTCTTTATATATTCTAGATACAAGTCCTTTCCTTGCCAGATATAAGATTTGCAAAACTTTTCTCCCATTCAATGAGTTTCTTTTCACTTTCTTGATGGTTTCCTTAGACTCACACATTTTTAATTTTGATGATGTTCAATTTATCTTTTATTTCCTCTTTTTGCTTGTGCCTTTGGTATCATTTAAGATCAGGTATTTTTACCTAATCCAAAGTCATGAAGATTTATGCTTATGTTTTCTTCTAAGAGTTCTCTAATATTAAGTCTCACATTTAGGTCTTTGATACACTGAGGTAATTTTTATATGTGGTGTGAAGTAGGGATCCAGCTTTATTCTTTTGCATAGGGATAGACTGTTGTTTCTGCACTGTTTGATGAAAAGATAATTTCTTCCCCTCACTGAATTATATTAGCACTGTTTTATAAAACCAATTAACCATATAAGTGAAGAGTATTGCTGGGCCCTCAATTTTCTTCTGACTTCATTCTTTTTAATGCTGTTGTAAGTTGGATTTTTAAATAACATTTGTATTAATGCATTGATACTCTATAGAAGCACACTCAATTTTTGTATTTTGATCTTGTAGCCTACCAATGTGCTAAACTAATTTAGTATTAGTGGTTTAGTAGTTGCTAAGCTTGTTTTTAGTGAATTCTTTCGTATTTCTATATAAGATTTTATCATCTGCAATTGAGATAGTTTTACCTCTTGCTTTTTAATCTAGATGACTTTTATTTCATCTTATTGCTCATTGTAGCTTTTGAAAAATTACATTGTATTCACAGTGCCCTACCATTTGATATTTTTATTTCTATTATATCATGAACATCCTTTGAATTTCACAGAAAAAATGGTTTAACTCATCATTTTAATGCTGTTCCATAGTATGTTATATGCACCTACTCCCCTGGGGTAAATATTTAGGTGGTTTCATTTATTTGTCACCCACTCTACAGATGTCTATATGCACATATTCTCCCAGCCATCCCAGAGTTTTCTGATTTCCCATAACGTCAGTGATTAAACTCCTGATCTGTCTGACTAGCTAGACATGCTGACTGACTGACAGTTCCATTGCTACTTTGCATAATTTAAGATCAACAGCTACATTTGGATCTCAGATCATCTAGGCCCAGCTGCAGTTAGTCTTTCCTAGTCTCAGAGATTCCCTCTCTGCCTGTTAATTTCTCTATCCCTGAAACTGCCCTTGTACTCCAGCCCAAGCAGCTTCCTAGCCCAGTAGTCCTGGATCTGCCACTTGCTAACTAGAAGGTGTCATCTGCAGAAGGTAAGTAAGGCATTTATCTCCATTCACTTTATATTTAGTTATCAAATCTCCATGTAGCTCAGGTAGATCGAGCTGAAAACATTCTTGTGTTTAGTAATATAGCCATTGAGCACACCATCATTGCTCTTTTCATACCTTAGTCCTACTCAAAGATTAAAGTGACAGCTTCCCAGTTATGATAAAAAAGTATAAAACATTCTGAGGGACCTGTAAACTATAAAGCTAAAATATCAGCTTCTGCATGCAACATATATGTCAAATTCTATGTCCAATACTCTTCTCATTTTTAGAATTAATTCTGCAAACTTGAAGATTGAGCTTTTTATGAACTGATTGGCATCTGCTATGCTCACCAGATTATTCCCACTTGACTGAGAGGATGGTGGTAGCAAGAGCTCCTTCCTTTCAGAGGCTTTTAAAAATACTTATTGGGAAGAATGTACCACATAAGGCATTTAACTAATGAAACCACAGATATAACCACTGGCAAAAAAATCAAACAAACATTTCTTTAACTGCCCTGTACTTGGTACATTCTCTTCCTCCTGCTAGGGAAGTATCTCCTCTCCCTTCACTTCACAGACTGGAATTTTCCAAATTCCTAGTCTCAACAAGACAAACTGTATTTTGAAATCACTGTTTTCCCAGAATACCCGGAGTGTTACCATGACTCCAGAAGATGCCTTCAACCAAGACTCATAATCTGACTGTAAGAAACCTTCAGATAAGGTATTGGGAACTTCTGTAAAATTGTAGCTGGGCTGTGATTAGAGAATTTTCACAATATCAACGAATCTTACAAAAGAGCTGCTGATCCAACAGGTCCTCAGAGATCCTGTGTGGGAACCAGAAGGTATTCTGTGAAAAACGACAATAAGAATAACCATAATAACAATAATGGCTGCATTTAAAAGGCTCTTGCTATATTTCAGGCACTGGTTTTTGTACCTACATGGATTATTTTGTTCAATATTTATCACAACCATATGAGAAGGATGTTATTATCCACAATAAATAAATGAAATCTGTGAACTGTAACTTGTTCAAGAAAATTAGGTACAGAGATGTTAAGTTACTTGCCCAAAGTTCCATAATTTTGAAGATATGAGGCTAGAATTCAGTTCCAGGCCATTTTACACTAGATCTACTAATTTAGCCACTGTATGATTGTACCAAGACTGACCTAAAGCTACCTCCCCTTCCCCAACAGGTTCTTTTATGACAGTGAGTATAAAATACAGGGCTAATGACGTATTGGGTGCAGAGAGGGGTTGGAAAGAATGTGGTATTTCAGACTATGCTTACTATGCTTAAAAATCACAATTCCGTGGTGACTAGAGTTTATCTTAAACTTTCCTCCCTGGCATTCCATTGCATCCAGTTGAGAGAGCACTCTAGCTCCCTACATCCCAGAACATGTAGATCTGTCCGTGGTTCTGAAAGACACACTGGCAGGTCCCGCCAACTACATGAATGGCATTCATATTGTGGAAAACTGCCCACTAGTAAAAATGTACAGTTGAATTTGTACATTCGTTACTTACAAGGTTGGAGAACGTGAAGTACTGGACAATCCAACAATAGCTTGGAAAGATACCATAAAAAGACCCGCAGAATATTCTTTTATATGCATTATTCTGAAATGTACAAAACAAAACCAGAATGGGACACATTATGAGTGAGAAGTTTATCTTGAAATTTTAATCAGAATATGAAGAAAAGAAATCCAACATTAGACCTGGAAAAAGATAAAATAATTTGTATTTCATTTAACAATATTTATAGATTCTCAATATATACACTATCCTTTTAAACCTCAATTTATATTTAACCATCCATTTACCTTTATTTTTTGTTTGTTTTTTTCTTTCACCTCATACTTTCTACCTGGGATATCTTTTTGTGACTAAAGTACATTCTTTAGAACTTCTTGTACTTTACTAGGTGTGTTTGTGTTAAATTGTTTGTCTTCAAAATTCATTGAGATTTAAATTTTATTATTATATTTTCATGCTTAAGTGTTATGTGTTTGTCTCTTCAAATTTTTCTGAAGATTATTTATAGTTTTATAGTCACTAAATGTATTTAACAATCTGTTCTTTAATCATAGCCCATTTAGCAATTTTATATCCTATACAATTATTCTGATTTCTCAGTTATATGATTGTATGATTCTGCTGTCTGTTGTATTTTCTTGTTCTTTCACGGTGCTTTGTCTCTTATGAACATTGTTCTCTGTTGTTGTTCTTAACTGTTAAGTGCTCCTTTTGCTGGTGTAATGATTTTTTGGAATTTTCAGAGTGCCAATGACAGTAGAAATTTTCCAGAGAAGTTTTGCTTGATTTTCCAAGGTTCCTTGGAGTCTGCACTACTTTAAAATAAATTCATGGCTTGATGATTTTCAGACCACCCAGGGAGTGTGAACTCGGGCTGCAAATCCACTTCTCTTTAATCTCAGCAGAAGGTTTTGCCCCTCTCCACTCAGCACCAAGGTGACTTTCTAGGGAGACCTTCAAGCAAGGATGTTTTCCTTATACTGAGGAGCTGGCTTTGGGATCCTGGTGAAATGAGGAGAACACTCTATTAAATTTCCCACTCTGAGTGCTACCTGAACTCTGTCTTCTATTCCAAATGCCTTAGGAGGCCATGAAAACTAAACCTTAATTATCCTACATTAAGTAAATAAGCTCAGCAAAAAAAGTAAATGCACAATTCCGTGATTTAGGATTTGACAATTTTTATTAAAGTTTAAGCCTCTCAATGCTTCTACATTGTGTTTTATTTTTTCACCATCCATTTTTGTTAGCATGAGGGTAGGTATGTTTACCTAAATGTGCCATGTGAGTGGTTCAAATCTCCTCCCCAACGCTCCTTATCACAAACCTTACCATCTTATTCCTTTAAAGTCACTGACTATCTAAGCAAACTACTAGCTACTGCTGTGCATTGATTAGGACCCAACAGTAAGACGTTTCTCCTTTTGGTAAACTGCACTTCCAGATGGTCTAATTGAACATCTTCTCACTGGAAGTATTTTTATTTCCATTACTCTTAATGATGATTCCTGAAAGAGACTCTAATGCCCTGACAGTTAACTCTGGGGTATCCAAGCATACTCAAATTTTTTTCCTTCTACAGTCAATTGTCCTTAGGGAACTCCTCAAGACCTCAATAATGAGACAAGGGAGAGTGGACTCTCCAGTGGTAATAAGAACATTAGGAGTATAGTACAAATTATTAGGCAACTTACCTGGCCTTATGGAACCTGCTAAAGACTGATGCTGTGTATACCATTTCCCCTTGCAGACTGAGGGCTGGTGAGCATGAGTGACCTGATAAAACTCAGGTCATAATGGGCATCTCAAGTCACTTGGTCATTTTCTGTATCATGATCATAGAATTCAGAATCTACCAGGGCCCAGTAGTAAGCCAGAAGCTATTACTCAAATTCAGAAAAAGAATGGAACTTTTTCCCCAAACCCTGAAACTTGGGCAATGAGTCCTATGACTGCCACACACAAACACACACACACACACACACACACACACATACACTCAACAATATCCAAATAAGCATTTAGGGCCAAATGGCAGATATGCTTGACTTTTGCCTGGATCAAAATGACATTTCCATTTATTATGGAATGTTTCTGTACTTGTACTAGCTCATAGGATTTTGGATTAGAGAAATACCCTTGCAGGATATGAAGTCATACTTTTTCATTGGTGAAATCATCTGTTCTCATTAGAGTTTAATAATATCATGCAGTTATTTCTCAAAGAGCTTGTACTCCTTAGATTTGCTGGAATTCCTCAAGTTAAAAAGACCAGGGCCTCAATAATGGGAGGTCTCATTGCCAATAGCTACAACTGGCTGTAGAATTTATTAAAAACATGTGAGTGCATTGTTTGGGGAAAGAATCAAGAACAAAAGCAGTGCTTGTTTTGTACTTCACTGAACTACTTCCATGGCCTCCATTCAACTTTAGCTGCAGTTTTGGTGACTTGATTCACAGACTGTCGGAAAGTTATGAGCTATGGAATGTGCTCTCTCCAATACTAAAGAGGCCAGTCATATATATGTAGGGTGTCCTTCTTTATCATTGTAGGTTGTATGAAGTCAGTGATTCCCATAGAACCTTGGGGTCACAGATGCCAGGCCTAATCTTCTTTTATTATTCATTCAATCTTTATTTTTTCAAACAATGGTCTCACTCTCTTGCCCAGGCTGGAGTCCAATGGTGCGAACACAACTCACTGCAGCCTCGACCGCCCCAGGCTTAGGTGATCCTCCCACCTCAGCCTTCCAAGTAGCCGGGACTACAGCTGTGTGCCACCGCACCTGGCTAATTTTTGTGTTTTTTGTAGAGATGGGTTTTTGTCATGTTACCCAGGCTTGTCTTGAACTCCTGGGCTCAAGCAATCCACCCACCTTGGCCTCCCAAAGTTGTGGGATTACAGACATGAGCCACTGCACCCAGCTCTAATCTTATTTTAATTTTAGAAATCTAACTTGACAGTTTCTGGTGCCTGGATCCATATTTGTCTCAGAAGATTGAATTGTGGATTGTGACCTTCTCTCCCAAAAGTCTCTTTCAGGGTAGAACTTCTGGTTATGGCAACATGAAGAGATAGACCAGCAAGTTTTCCTCCAACAGCAACATGAAAACTGTACTAAATACTAAAAACAAACATTTGAAGTCACTGGAAAATTAACAAAGGCAAGCAATATGTGATAAGAGCTTTCTTGTTTAAGACTCCTTCTGTCTTAGGTAAGGACTGCAAGTTGGTGGCCTTTCCTTCTTACCTATGAGTGCTCTTCAGCCTCCCAGCAGATAACTGCAGCCCTAGTGGCTCAATATGGGCAGTTTATAGAGTTCAGAGCCCAAATCAGCTAGAAATGTAAATGAGAATGTTGAAAGAGAGCTGCAGAAGAGTTGAGATCAACAATGTGAATGCAAATTATGCTCATCCCTAGTTGAACACTAAACTCTGCATGGGTGTGGGCCACTTGGGAATCTGGTGAAAAACCAGAAAGAAACTAGAGGGAGGTCTACCCTCCAAAGAGATAAATGATCCTGGTGAGATCTGCAAGTCTTCAGTAACATGGACTGAGTGCATTTGCCAACCTGCACAGAGCTCAGTAGAAGAAAGCAAAAATCTTACTGGCTTGAGAGGTGAAAAGGCAGGATTTGAGGCTAACAAAACAATTGGAAATTCAAAGAGAATTCCAGAAACAAAGCAACCACAATGAAGTTGAATCACAAAATCTGAGTATAAATGACCCAAATACTTGGTCAACCTCTAAATTACACAGATGCAGGACACACACCCAGAAACCCCTGCTGAAACCACGTAAGATACTAAGTGGAAATTCTCAAACAGAAAAAAAAGAAAATGAAAGTATTCTGGAAGAGGTCCACAGAAGTTTTGAGATGGCAGAATAAAGAACAAGCCTGTGACTTTGAATATAAATCTCCAGAATGTGCTCAATTCTAAAATCCAAAACACAGATTGAAATAAGATTAAAGAAAAAAATGAAGAGAACGTCATGAACCCATCAGAGAATATAAAGCAGGTGACCAGATATGCAAGTGGATCCTCGAAAGAAGACACAGGATCAGAAAAAAATATTTGAGAAAATAATAGTTGAAAGTTTCCCACATTTGGTGGGGGATTTTAGCTCATATCTAAGGTGTTCAATAAATGAAAGCAAAATAACTGCAGAGAAAATTACAAATAGGGTGACCAAGGCCTTGGCCTGGCCTGAGGCAACTTAGCTAGCCCCAGGGATGTGTGTTCTGGTGTGGAGTAAGATCAGGGAGCTACCAGTGCAATCTCTGCCTCTACATCAGCGGGACTGATCATTTTAATTTTGATTGCAGTTACTGCTGGTATCTGAATCAAAGTGGTGATGCTTCCTGAGGAAATTTCTGAAGCCATTAGTCAATTAGAACATTATAAGCCATGCCTCCCGTGAAGAGGAGCATCTAATCCCAGCATTTGCACCAGGGAACTCTGCCTGAAGGGATTACCAGTGACTTGAAAGTGTAACCAACAACAATCTTGTCACTATTACGCACCAGCTAAGCAATCTGAACATACATGCTGAAGACATATTTGGTGAGCTATTTAAGGAGGCTAACTACTTCCACATTAGATCAAATTCTCTTAGAATTTGTTGCCTCATGGTCAAAGTCACTCAGCTGGATTCAGCAGTGGAAGAGGTGTCACCACAGGACATCAACATGGAAAAAGCCCTCAAAAGTTCCCCAGCCCAAGACCAGCAAGCAGTTTCAAAGAGCAGCATTCCTACTCCTGCTGCTGACATTTACAATCAGAGTGATTGACCACCTCCCCTGAATAGCATGAGAGCACATGGAGATGATAAAGACAGGCTGAAGTTCTATACTGATCCTTCCCATTTATTTGACCTCTGGAAAGAAGAAGTGCTGCAGGACACAGAAGACAAAAGGAAAGACAGAAGGCATCAAAAGTAGCAAAACCACATAGATGGCACCACTTATGATGTGAAAAGGATTACAAAAGCCAGAAACAAGCACCATGAGTGGAATATGATGGCATATGACAAAGAGCTTAGACCCAGCAACAGGTTGTCTCAGTGTGTACCATGGAGCATCCTGCAAGAACCCCTGTCCCTAGACAGCAGGTCCCATACAATGGATGTTAGGGATGCTCTTATCGAGCTACTCCAAACCATTCTCACGACCCTTCCTAGGCAGCTGAAGATGCATGTCCACATGGGCCCACAAACCAGGCCCCTGAGCTTGAGTGCCACCCCTCCTCTGCCTCAGTGAGGCACATGGCCCTAAATGGACCTCAAGAGAGGCCCCCACTTCCCTGCCTTACCCCAGCTGTGTTCCAATCCTGTGCACTTATGGCTCCAGGAGACTACAGGATGCTCCCAGCACAGGTGCTTGCATATTACAACCCGTCAAGACCTCCTTCTCTTCCCCCTTTTACAGTACAAACTGCCTTTGTTGCCTTCTGCAAATCCTCCTGCCGCCTCCTTCCTCATATCAGCTGGCTCCACACACCCTCCTCCTCACCCTCCCTCCACTGGCCCCTGGGTCCAGCATTCCCTCCTCCAGCCACACACTTTCCCCACCAGGCCTCTTGGCTCAGTTCTTTTTTGTCTTCCCCATGCATTCGCCCCCACACTGCCACCAGTAGCTGAGGCAAAGTGTCAAGAACCTGCACAGCCACCAAAAAGTGATACGAGAAGTGATCTCCTTGCTGCTACTGGAATGGGGATTTGACTGGAAAAGGTGCAGGATCTGTGTGAGCAAGAGGCCAAGAGTGAGCCCCTTGGGAAGGACAAGGTCACAACCCTGTCAATACATTGCAGTGGAGAAGTACAGGGATTCTGAGGGAGACTTAGAGTTTGACAAAAACAACTGGCCCAACCAAGGCAGTGCTGGGGCTAGCTCTATGCAACAGGTGGGTAGCTGGTACCAGGCTGGGTGACAGCCAGGAGACCATATGCTAAGAATGTACTTAAGATTTCAAGTGGTCTCAGCACTCAATGGTATTATAATCCCGCAGCTGAGCACCTTTTGTATTAATGATGTGATATTGCTTCTGCACATCCAAAAATTCTGGGCTTTCTCAGTATTTACTGTGTAACATTTAAATGCCATTAAGCATAGAATATCATGCTGCACATGAAGAAATAGGATGTAACTATTACATCGTCCTGAAAAGAGCGTTTTTTTTTTTCCTGTAGGCCATGAAAGTATTTAGTGTATTTTGGGTTTACTCTTATTGATCATTACAATTCTGCAGATGTGCTGTGTGAAGCTGCCTGGTGCTAGGCCTTTGAAGATTAATAACTGTGTTTCAGGTGGATATCTTCAGATGAGTAATTGATATTGTTTTACTGTTTTGGGGTGTTTTATGAGTTTGAAAAGCTGTTGGTTCTAGAGGGAAAGGTTTAACAAATAAGGAGAATCCAATATTTCTGCTTTCATTTTCTTGGCGTGGTATCCTCTGTGTGAATTTGAATGCTCAGTTGAATAGTTTTATTGCCTTAGTACACACTTGTCAAATGTAAAGTTGGAAGGACCCTTTTCAGGAAGGGTTTCCTGTGAACATTCACTTAGTAAATGCTTGTGGATGATTCTTGTAAGAGGTCTCAGTGCTTAGAAGTAATGAAAATGAAGAACAAGATCCTTTCACCTTCAGGGGACTTTGGGACCAATACTCAAAATATTTGCCAGCCCTTACAGCTTGGGCACCAGCCAGCAGGAGCAGAGGTGAGTGGTCCAGGAGCTGGGCAGCTCTGGGCAGAGCAGCTGCATGTGGGCCCTGGGTGCTAAAGCAGGCCTGCTCATTGTGTGTCCTGGAAGAGCTGTGTTCTAAAGGAGGCCACAGGAGTTCTTAGCTCCTTAGTGTGTGACAGACAGTGCTTCAGAGGGCACTGTGCTCCACTTGGTCTTAATTTTGAAAGTTTACATTGAGGTGAAAGTAGATATTGACAGCTGTTCACTCTTCATGTGCTGTGTTCAGATTACGGATGAATCCATGAGCAGGGCCTTTGCCTTATCCTAGAAACACGTGGTTATCTTCCCTCATGTTGTTGCTGGCACATCACATGTTGATAAGTACCTCTCAAGATTACCTTGATAGACCCGTAGCTGTAGAAGAGCACTTAGTTCTCACCTCTGCCCTTCCCCTTATTCTTGCACCGTGGTCATGCTAGAGACCCATGGGGTTTATTTTCCTGGCTAAGGCAAACTGTTGGGAAATGCAAGAATGAGAGCTTCTATTGTGTAATTCTGGATGAAGAATAACTGCTTGTTTAGAACAAATAAATGTCCCAGGCTTTGATTATAGTTATGACTTCAAAAATATGCTAAGACCATTTACTTACTGAGGAAATCTTACCTACTTATAGTATTTCAAATTGATTGCAGTCATTAGTGACTTTCAGTTACGATGAAGGGAAGAATCTTGAGCTAAACGCAGCGTTGTCTGAGGTGATGATAGGAGTGGAAACAGGATGGTAACTAATGGATTTAGGTTAATGAGTTCTGAGAAAATCAACCAGCCCCTGCAAGTCACAGCTCTGTGTCTCTAAGTGGACACCTGTCTGTCTTGAGGCAGTCATCATATAATACGCATCACATAGATTTTAGTCATATGGATTTTGAAACTCTGGAAACCATATGTCTGCAGCTCCCTTTCATGACCATGCTTGTGCTGGTTTATCTGATCTCCTCAGCTGTACCAGCTGCTGTGGCATGAGCTTCTTGAGCTTCTCTTTTTAGAGCTGATCATTATCTGGCGGCTGTCGCTATAATTTTCTTGAATACAAGTAAACATTATTTATAAACTTTTAAATTTCTCTGTTTAATTTTTCTCTCTCTTTTTTTTTTAATGTAGAGGCCTACTTTGCTGGCATCTTTGGGTCCTACTCAGTCATAAACCACCCTCCCCACCCTAGAGTAGCCACTCTTGATTTCTAATACAGATGAGTTCTGCCAGGTCTAGTTGAATGGCATTATACAGTCACCATCATGACCCTGGGTCTCATCATCTCGCTGTGTGTGGTCGTAGCCTATTCACTCCCATAGCTGTCCAATGTTCCACTTTATAAATAACTCACATTTCTTGTCCTTTCACTGTTGATAGACAATTTTGTTGTATACAGATTTTACAAATCGTGCTGCTATGAATAATATTTTCATATAGTTTGGCACACACATACATGCATTTCTATTGGTTTAGAACTAAGAGTGCTATTGCTGGATCATAGGTGAGTAGATGATTGGCTTAGTCTCTCAAAAACCAAGTTTCTAGTAGTAAACAAACAGTAGAGGAGGGTGAATCTCTTACTTAGAAATTATTCAGATAATAAATGAAGAAGGAATGAGAGACTGAGACTATAATAACTCTTTTGCAACCCATCATGAATTAACAGATTTAGCCATTGAATAGCAATGGCAATTAACAACACAATAAAAGAAAAAACTAATGTGAGGTTCTTCCTCTTGATGGAAGAACACAATACAGCACCATCAAACAAGTCCAAGTGAAAAAGAAACCAAGCCTGAATAGAAGCTGATCTCCATAGCCAATTACCAATTTAGAGGCAATACAGATAATAGAAATACATATTAAACTATGCCTTGGGGAGCAATCAGCAAAATGCACACTATGGGAAGCTCTACCACACAATATAAATTTCAAGGAAGAATCTATAGAATAAAGACAACAAAAGCATATTTCTAAAGGTAAAACTAAATCATAATATTGGATGATAAAAATAAAAATAAAACAAAGAAGTGATGATCGTAAAAGTCAGGTTGTGTTTTTATTTGAGGGAAGAAAGAGTTTATTGCTGGGCTGGAGCAAATGATGGGGCTTCTGGTTTGCCCCACAAACATCTATCCCTGGTGATTAATGGGTGTTTACTTTGTATTAAAGGACACAAATTTTAGACATTTTTTTCTTTTGGAGTCCTATATTTTATTTTATGACACAAAGGCTAATGAAAAAATAATTTATAGAGTATGGTTACTGTTTTGCACAAAGCCTCCTCCCCATCTTCTTTTCTGGACACTGAGCACCCAGAACAACCAGCAGCCCCAGGACCCCCAGCAGGGGTGACCTCACTTCTAGGTGTGCATGCAGCTTACATCACCAGAGGTAACATGCAGGTCTACTCCTTGACTCCTGGAAGAACCTGATAGGACACAGCTGAAGGGAAGCCTTCTCCGCCATCTGTAGGCTCTTGGCCATCAGTGTAGAGGGAGCGGGTCCTCACTTCTCCACAGGCGTCTTCATGGCCATAGCCTCCTCTCTGCATGGGGAGTAAGGCCTGGCCCTTCGCCTGAACACGGTGACAGGGATCTCGCCAAAGGTGGAGATCACACCATTCCTCCTTTAGCAACCTCACGCTTCTTTTGCTTTACAGGAAAGTTGACTCAGGCTGGTGTCCAGTAAAGAAATCCCAAGGAGAGGCCGGGTGCGGTGGCTCACGCCTGTAATCCCAGGACTTTGGGAGGTCGAGGCGGGCGGATCACGAGGTCAGGAGATTGAGACCATCCTGGCTAACACGGTGAAACCCCGTCTCTACTAAAAAATACAAAACATTAGCAGGGCGTGGTGGCGGGCACCTGTAGTCCCAGCTACTCGGAAGGCTGAGCCAGAATGGCGTGAACCCGGGAGGCGGAGCTTGCAGTGCTCCTGCTCCCAGGAGGCGGATGCCCAGGATGAACTTTAAGGTGGAGAGAGGAATGTCATTGCTCATCCTCCAGGTTCCAAGTAAGAACCTTCCTGCCCAGCCCATCTCGATCTCCCTGAATCCTCAACGCTAATAAGGACTGTCTCCTTCTCACCTCCCTAGACTGGGCTTTTTAACACTGGAGAGTGGATGTGATTTCTAGTTTCAGCATGTCCTGGTTTATTGTGCTGCCAGTAAAATAAAATCAAAATACACATTGAATAAATAATAAATAACCCATAGTGAGCAAAGGCTTACAATGTATTTTTTTGAGTCAAGACCTCACTCTGGCCTGGGCTGGAGCCCAGTGGTGGGATCGTAGCTCAATGCAGCCTTGTATTTATGAGCTCAAGGGATCTTCCCACCTCAGCCTCCACAATACCTGGAAATACAAGCGCACACCACCAGGCCCAGCTGTTTACTTATTTTTATTTTTTTAGAGACGAGGGTCTCACTATGTTGTCCAAGCTGGTCTCTAATTCCTGATCTCAAGCAATCCTCTTGCCTTAGCATCCTGAATTGCTGGGATTACAGGCATGAGCTGTCATGCCCAGCTTGTAATGTACTGACACTATCAAGGTTTCTTTCTCCAAGTGTGGACACAGCAGCAGACACCCCTTGTCTCTTGGGTCAGGACACTGGGTAGAGTGGAAGAGCAAGGCAACAAAGTCACTGCAGAAAGCACCCACGTGGAAGAGGTCCAGCAGGGAGAGCCACCTGTTCCAGGGACACCATATTTAGGGATAACTCCTCTTTCTGGGCAGGACTGTTCTTTGATTACTTTTGTATTCACAATAGTTCTGAAATCGTAGGATGATGAGACTCAAGACTGGCTAGGGTTTTATTTTGGTTTAGTTTTTATTTTGTTTTGTTTTGTTTTTTTCAAAAAACCATCATGAGATTTGTTAATCTTTTGAATGGTTTTTGTGTCTCAATTTCCTTCAGAACTTAACTCTTCTTAACATTTCACAGTCCACTTTCAGTTAAAAATGTACTAGTACCCATAAATAGAGAAATCTTGCAACCATTTATCCTCTATAAAATGTCCATCTTTATGGTACAGATATTATATGTAATATATCTATATAGGTTATAAGTCCCACAAGAAAAAAACTTCTTCTTATCTTTAAACAGTTCTATGTATATAAATTAGAGTAAATGAGGGGAACAAGATAGCCTTTTGCACTTAGCTCAGTATTTACCATTTTTGATCATCTTCATCTTTTCTGATAACCTCATTTCCCACCTGGTATCATTTGCCTTTAGCCTGAAGAATTTTCTTTACCAATTGTTATTGTGCAGATCTGCTGGTGACAAATTCTCTTAATTTTCTTTTACCTGAAACATCTCCTTATTTTGCCTGTCCTTGAAGGACATCTGTGCTGGATATAGAATTCTTAGTTGTCCTTTTTTTCTTCCAGCACTTTAAAGGTGTTATTCTACTTTCTTTTGTTTCTATGGTTTCTAATAAGAAGTTGTTGGTCAGGACAAGAGGAACAGAGAAACCAAAACTGAGGAAATAACATGGTAGACCTAAAACTTATCAATAATGAAAAAAAAAACCTATATGAATCAACACTCCCATGAAGGGCAGAGATTGTGTCAATTGGTTAAAAAAAAAACAAAACACAGAACCCAACCATATGCTCTTTCCAGATATGCACTTTCTTTGTTTCTTTTTTTTTTAATTTAACTTTTATTTTTAGTTAAGGAGTACATGTGCAGGTTTGTTATATAGGTAAACTTGTGTCATGCGGTTTTATTGTACAGATTATTTCTGTACCCATTAGTACCCACCCAAGTATTAAGCCTTAGTACCCATTAGCTATTTTTCCTGATCCTCTCCCTCCTCCCACCCTCTACCCTCAAGTGGACCCCAGTGTGTGTTGTTCCCTTCTGCGTGTCCATGTGTTCTCATCATATAACTCCTACTTATAAGTGAGAACATGTGGTAATTGGTTTTCTGTTCCTGCCTTAGTTTGCTAAGGATAATGGCCTCCAACTCCATCCATGTTCCTGCAAAGGACATGATCTCATTCTTTTTTATGGCTGCATAGTATTCTGTGGTGTATATGTGCCACATTTTCTTTTTCTTTTTTTTTTAATGGAAAATAACTTTTATTGAGATCCCACCAGTTGCAATATCTGTTCCCAGCATTAAGCTCCTTCTTCCTTTGCAATTCGGTCTTTCTTGAGTGGTCCCATGAATGCTTTCTTCTCCTCCATGGTCTGGAAGCGGCCATGGCCAAACTTGGAGGGGGTGTCAATGAACTTAAGGTCAATCTTCTCCAGAGCCCACTGCTTTGTCTGCACCAGCAAGGACTTGCGGAGGGTGAGCACCCACTTCTTGGTTCCCACCACACAGCCTTTCAGCATGACAAAGTCATTGGTCACTTCACCATAGTGGACGAAGCCACCCAAAGGGTTGATGCTCTTGTCAGACAGGTCATAGTCAGTGGAGGCATTGTTCTTGATCAGCTTGCCATCCTTGATAAGGTAGCCCTAGCCAATCCTATAGATCTTCTTGTTGATCTCAGTGCGGTGATGGTAGCCTTTCTGCCCACCACATACCACAGAGAAGCCCACACGAGCAGGATGCCATGCCCCAATACAGGCCACCTTGCACAGGCCTTGGTGGGTCTTGCGGGGCAGCTTCTTGGTGTGCCAACGACTGGTGACCCTTTTGTAGCCTTTGCCCTTGGTCACCCTGACGACGTCGATCATCTCATCCTGCCCAAACACTTGGTTCACAGGTACCTGGTGCTTGAGCCTCTCGCCAGCCCAGTCCAGCTTCTCAGCCACAGTGCCTCTATTCACCTGGATCTCCATCAGGTGGGCCTTCTTCTGGCACAGAGGAAGCAGTTGCATCTGGGTGTGGGCAATGACGCAGATGACTTGGCAGTACTTCTTCATGCTGCTGAAGTCCTTCTCCAGCTGCTTCTTGCCATCCTCATCCTGCCATTTCTTGCAGTACTTGGTAAAGGCCTTCTTCTTAGATTTATGCCAGTTCTTATAGAAACGTCTCTTGCATTCATCACTGATGTGCTCAGCGAAGACAGTCTTGCAAGTCCGGAAGCCTTGAGGGGTTTCCACGCAGCCCACAATGCCCACTGGTGGCCTCTCCACAATGGTCACAGCCTCCACCACCTCCTTCTTGTTCACCTTGGATCCTGGCCTGTCGACTTCCCGCACGATGTGGGTCATGCCAGCCTTGTATCCCAGGAAGGCTGTGAGGTGGACCGGCTTGGACGGGTCATCCTTAGGGAAGCTCTTCACCTTCCCACGATGCCTGCTGCTGCGCTTCCAAGGCAGGAAGCCGAGGGACCCATGTCTGGGAGTGGAGAACTTTCTGTGAGACATCACGCCATCAAATCCTGCCGGTAGAGCATATTTGCCACATTTTCTTTATCCAGTCTACCATTGATGGACATTTAGGTTGATTCCATGTCTTTGCTATTGTGAATAGTGCTGCAATGAACATATGCATACATGTAAGACATGGGCTTTCTTTTTTTAATTTGCTTTGTTTTATTTTACTTTAGGTTCCAGGATACATGTGCAGAACCTGCAGGTTTGTTACATGCGTATAGTCTGCCATGGTGGTTTGCTGCACCTATTGACCCATCCTCTAAGTTCCCGTCCCTTGCCCCCCACACTCCCCAAAAGGCCCTGATATGTGTTGTTCCCCTCCCTGTGTCCATGTGTTGTCATTGTTCAACTCTCACTTAGGAATGAGAACATGAGGTGCTTTGTTTTCTGTTCCCGTGTTAGTTTGCTGAGGATGATGACTTCCAGCTTCATCCATGTCCCTGCAAAGGACATGAACTCATTCCTTTTTCTGGCTGTGTACTATTCCATGGTGGTATGCACCACATTTTCTTTATCCATCTATCACTGATGGACATTTGGGTTGGTTCCAAGTCTTTGCTATTGTAAATAGTGCTGCAGTAAACATACGTGTGCATGTGTCTTTATAGTAGAATGATTTATATTCCTTTGGGTAGATACCCAAGGGGTCAAATAGTATTTCTGGTTCTAGGTCTCTGAGGAATGGCCACACTGTCTTCCACAATGGTTGAACTAGTTTACATTCCCAACAACAGTGTAAAAGTGTTCCTATTTCTCCACAGCCTCACCAGCATCTATTGTTTCTTGACTTTTTAATAATTACCATTCTGACTGGCGGGAGATGGTATCTCATTGTGGCTTTGATTTACATTTCTCTAATGAGCAGTGATATTGAGCTTTTTAAATTTTTCTCATTAAGATTTTAATGTCTCATTTCAAAAAATTAAAGGAAGTTTCCATTTATTTTTTAAGATAAAGATTTAGTGCACCCAAATGCCCCCAAAGCCAACAGAAAAATAGCTTTGCCCTGTCATTTCCCTAAGAAAGCACTGCAGTTACTCAAAATATGCTCAAAGAAAAAAATGCAATCCTCTGAGTTCTAAGTTTCACAAAAGGACCACATGTTAAACTATGTATATCGATTTGATGTGTAAGTATGCAATAAATATGTACACATACATTCCTATCTGCTTCACATCATTCTAGAGTATTCATAGTATATGAAGATGGGATTTAGAAATGTGAAAAGGCTGTAACAGTGAAAAGGAAAAAAAGGGTACAATGGTTTTTAGACCAGTAGAATAATAATGCTTAGCTAGTTAATTATTTTAACTTTGGAGCAGACTAAAAAAGTTGTTTTGAAATAAATGGTACCTGTAAGTGATGCTTACTGCAATACTTGTTAAGTGTTATTTGTCACCACTGACAGGAATTATATAGTGCTAGTAACACAGCTCCCACTGTCCTAGAATTCCTCTAAATGGCCAGCTATTGCTACCATTATCTTGATAAGCATTTCAAGAATTGTGTTGCTGAGCCTTTTAAAAGATAACTAGTTTATAACCTATGTCTCCTTATGTGCCTACATCAGTTACTCATGGTCCCAAAGAAGTATAAAAGAGGATATAAGCTGCTGAAGATTTCACAGAAGAAACAGAGATATCAGAAACTTCATGATCATCAAACTTAAACCACCGCTGTTTTGCTGCATTTTTACAGTAGGCTGTGTAATGGCCTCCATCCAGCCCACCGCAGTGATCTGAAACAGAAAACAAATTATATTTCTTCAAATTGTTCTTTGGACCAATAACATACTGTGACAAGGCAAGATTTTCTAACGGGAAGTCCACAGATGTCTGTAATTTTTGTTTCCACCTGCCATTGTAGGAAAAATGTTTCAGATGCACTAAAAGCACAGGTGGTAACTTCCAGATTTCTTTTTTAAGAATCCCGTCGAGCTCTGCAAAGATTGCAGTAAAATCTGTTATTATCTATGAGTTTTTCTTCTTTAGAAAATAATCTAAGGCAATCCTATAATGTACATTTACTTGTGGATGCTATCAGTAGAGACAAATACATGAAGGCCTCAAGTGTCCTAGACTTTTTGTGACGGGTGAGGCACTGTACTGTAGATTTGAATTGACCCTGAAAAAGTGCAACAATAATAGACTCATAGAGCCGCTTGTGTTTCTGCCAGGCATGTTCTGCAGCTTTAAAGTCATTGAGATGATCATTATTTTCTTCTTTATATGTCTTCCGATTATCAGTTTTATTTAGATCTTCATGGAGACCATCCATTAGGAACAGAAGAAATTCTTGTGAATCTTGACTGTATCCTGCAAACTGGTAATTGATCTTCCCAATGGTGACTTTAAGGTCTTTTGGACTGATATATCTATACTGTCCTGTCCACGGGGCTTTCATGATTATACCAAATTCTTCTGCCACTTCACCTTTATGCCCCTAACAAATTTGACTTGTTAATATCATCCTGATAACAGTTTCGGTTGAAATAATCAGCCAAATGTGGAGCATTACATAGGCACTGCAATATTGAGTTCATATAACAAGTATTTCCTAAGTTACGAAGTCCAGTAAGAGCTGGTCCAGAACCTCCAAAAACAGGATTGAGTTTCCAAATCTGAGAAGCAGAAAGCCTTGAGATCTCAGCTTTAGGGTAGCATGTTGGCTTGTCTTCCTGATTAACTGTTGGAGTTACTGCTGGCTTCCTCTTGAATAGCCTGGGTTATATCTGGGGAGGAGTAAGAGCATTTCAGTTTGGAAGGTTCCCTATCCTGCTTAGCAGGAATCTGTGGCTTGCCTTTATGAGTTGGAGGGGTGGAAGGAGGTGCAGATGAAGGAGCCATTTCCCGTGGGTACGTATGAACAGTGTTAGTGGTGAATGATAATAATGAAACGTTCCAGTGATTGGATCAAGAAACTTGGCCCAGCCTGAAGGCAGTCCTGGTACCATCCTCCCCATTTCTTCACTTCGTGCTATTATCGAAGGTTCTCGTTGAGTTTTATTTCTTTCAGTATCATCTGTATCCTCTCTAAAAGTTTCTGTCCTTAGAATTCCAGTTTCTGGTTGTCCTTTAATCTTAAAAGGCTTGCCTGAACCTGAATCCCCTGTCGCAGATGTATGGGACACATCTCTTGTTGACTTTTTCTGTACTTCTGGGGTTGAACATCTTCTCCCCCTGTCCTCTACAGACTTCTCGGCACCAGAGGTTTCATGATCACTTTTACTTTGTCTTTTTACTCTTGTTATTTCTTTGCCCTTCTTTGCTGAGATTTCTTTATCCTCTTTCTTGGCCTGTTCACGTTCTTTCTTCTCCATTTCTTCTTTTGCTTTTTGTTGCTTCTGTGTAATTTCATATTCTTCAGCTTCTTGTTTCTTTTTGGCTTTTTGCTCGTGTTCTTCCCTCCTCAGTTTCTTTCTGTTTCCCTTGCTGTCTTTCCTGAAGTTCTTTTTCTTGTTTGTTTTTCTCCATTAGAAGAGCAGTTTCTGCATGAATATGAGCCTTTTCTTCATCTGTTAACATGAGAGTTGGAGAGGAAACTACTGGCTTGGCGGAACAATCAGGAATAACTTTTTCATTCTGAGGAGACTGTTGCTCATGATTTGTACTTTCAGATTTGATTATATGCTCTTCAGGCAATTTGACTGCCAGTTTTTTAGTATGATCAATCTGTGGAACATTCTTTATGCTAGGCACTGGCTGAATGATGGGTGAAACATCAGATTTAGAAGCAGCAACTGATTCAACTGGAATTGATATATTCAGTGGTCCTGTCCTCTCATTTTGATCATTATCACTTATTTGATCACTTATCAATTCTATGTCTTCATCCACTTCTATAGGTGGAGGTGGCATCTCGGCAGCAGGTTTAGAAGGAATTGATTCTTCCAATGAGGGATAAGTAAAATCCAATGAGATAGACAACTCTTCATTCTGGTGTTGTGGGGGTGGAGTGACCTTAGCATTTGTTGTATACTGGGAATAGCAAAGGAACCAGTTTTTATAGCCTCCCTCTAAAACCAAAGGCCCAAGGCCCATTGCACATGACAGTTTTACTTTCCCACTTGAAAAGTGCATCTTTCAGATGCCAGAGTGTTGTTCCAATCTGTAAATCTTTTGCAGAACTAAACCAGTCAAGAAGTACCATATACTCCACATTCCCCCTCTTCTTCCATGTGTCTATAGAATTATCTGGGAGGTGTGCTTCAATCCAACTAGCAGTGACTCCTGGACTGATGGCTTCTTCAGGAACACTGAGAGAATGTAAAATACAGGAATCCTGATAATCCTGCATTCTTTGAGCATCCATTATAATCAAGCTGATGTTTTTATCCATCATCATTGTGTATAGTTCCTTTGCTGTGATTGCTCCTTTCTCTTTGGTCTCACATTTTTCATTCTTTTCACCATTGCTCTTTTGGGTTTTGTCTTTGGAATCCAATACAATCTCCAAAGAACCTTTAGCCAACGTGCTGCCATCCTCTCTTCCTGTTTCCTGCCTTTTTTGTTGTAGCCACTGTGCTTCCCCCTGCCTGTCCTTTTCCTCAAGTTTTTTCCAGATTTCAACTTCTTCATATTTTAGTTTAAGGCTTTCAGAGAGTCGTTCAGTTTCTCCAGTGGCTTTTTTGATGTTTGCAGGTCCAAGTATTGAACGGAAGCAATCCTGCTGTTGCTTGAAATCAGGTCTTTTTTGGATAGGATTATAAACAGTCACGTTTCATATACGTGTGTGAGCTTTTTTTCATATGTTTCTTGGCCACGTAAATGTCTTCCTCTGAGAAGTGTCTGTTTATATCCTTTGCCCACTTTTTGATGGGGATGGGTTTTTTTCTTGTAAATTTGTTTAAGTTCCTTGTAAACAAACATGTGAGCTCTCATCATTCTTGTTTAAACACCTAACAGCCATCCTAACCAGTGCAACAAGGACCAGGCATGGTGGCTCATGCCTGTAATCCCTGCATTTTGGGAGGCTGAGGTGGGAGGATCACTTGAGATCAGGAGTTTGAGACCAGCCTGATAAGTGAGACCTCATCTCTACCAAATAATAATAATTTTAAAAGAAAACAGATCAATGGATAAGAAAGGAAGAAATGAAAGTCTTTCTTTGTCACCAGCTTCATTGTATATGTAGAAAACACTAGGGAATTCTGAAAAAGTCTCTGGAATTAATCATTGAATTTGCAAAATAGTTCATAAAATATATGTAATAAGTCACTTAGATGAACATGAAAAGATAGCAAACAATACTAGTCATCTAAGAAGTGCAAGTTAAAACCACAATGAGAAACCATCACACATCACCTAGAGCAGGTAAAGTTAAAAAGACATATGATAAGTCTTAACACTGGCAAGAATATGGAAAAAATAGGAATGTCTGATATTGCTGGTAGGAATGCAAGAAATGTGGCAGCCAATTTGTAAAGTGGTATGGCAGTTTCTTATACAGTTACCCATCTATTACCACATGGCCCAGCAATTCCACAAATATGTATTTATCCAAAAGAAATAAAAATGTAAGTCCACACTTGTAAGCAGTTATTTATAGTGGCTTCATTAATAACAAACCCTAACTGGAGGAATCCACATGTCTATCAACTGGAGACACAGAAACCAATGAATAAACTGGGATTCCAGCAATACTCGGCAGCTGCTCAGCAACAAAAATGAATGAATGGCATCATCTCAAACATCGTTATGCTAAGGGAGAGACCAAACAAAAGACTACATAACATATGATTGCATGTCCATGAAATTCTAGAAATGTCACTATTGCAGTGACAGAAAGCACAGCAGTGGTTGAATGAAGGGAAGGGGGTGAGGGTGGGAGGCAAGGATTAAATAGAAAGGGGCATAAAGAAAGTTTTTAGGGAAAAGAAACTGTTCTCTACAGCGCCACAACTCAGGAGTGACTGGGAGGGGGAAGTAAGGGGAGAAGAAGGTCTGAGGGATAAGGGGCAGAGAGAAGGGCTGGGGAAGCAGGAGGAGAGGACGAGGAGCAGGGGAAAGGACTCTAAAGCAGTGGAGGGGCCTAGTAGGAGGATCTTTGCATTTGGTGTTTCTCTACTGGGCAGTGTGGTAGTTACACTATAAATAATTACCAATATCCACCAAAAAGTGCAGCTAAAACTGGTGAATTTTTTTACACGTAAACGCCCTAATAAGCAAAAAAAAAAGGGGGGGAGGGGGGAGGAAAGAAGGCAAAAATAAAGACATTGTTAGATCATCAAACCCATAAAATTCATTTCCTAGGGGTCCTGTACTACATGTAATTTTAAAGGACGTTCTACAGGCTGAAGGGAAATGATACTAGATGGTGACCCAGATATACAGAAAGGAACAATTAACAACAGAAATGATGCACATACACATATCACATACACACCCATTTTCTTAATTTCCTGAAGATATGTGACTGCTTGTCTAAAACAAAAAGTATTACACTGTATCGTTGAGTTTATAACGTATATTAATGTAACATATACAATAATAATAGCATAATGATAGTTTAAATGAAACTACACCATTTGAAGTGTCCTTTATTTTGCTGGATGCAGCTTAATATTACTTGAATTTCACTGTGAAAAGTCAAGGAATTGGGTTTCAATTCTTACAACAATAAAAAATTAATGTAAAGAAATATAGCTAAAAGCCACTAGGAGAATTAAAACCATAAGCTAAAAAATGTTTACTTGACACATAAGAAAGTAGCAAAGGAGGAACAGAAACAAAAAGATATGAGACAAATTGAAAACGTATAGCAAAATGGTAGACCAAAATCCAACCATTATAAGTGAAGAAATGACACGACCTGAGTCACATTAGCAGGACTGCTGAGCACTGTGGGGAGAACAGACATGGGCAGGAAGTGAGGGACAGTGTTAGTGCCACAATTCAGGAGTGACAGGGTGGCGGGGACTAAAGGGGAAAGAGAGTGTGAGGGATGAGAGGGGCAGACAGAAGGGCTGGAGAAGCAGGAGGTGAGGAAAAGGAGCAGAGGAAAGAATTCTAAAGCAGTAGAAGAGCCTGGCAGGGGGTTCTTTGCATTCGGTATTTAATACATTTTGTGTGACTGCCTTAAAACTAATGGGCTCCTTATGATTTTTTTTTAAAAAGGGGTTACAAAAATATCAAGTGTCCAAATAAAATATGCACACTGCTTAGATGTGCATAGTTCACGAAAACGGGCAGTGCTGGAGCGCTGGTGAAGAGCATTGGGACTGCATGGAGCCCTCGCAACTTTGAGGTGATGACTACAGGCTCCCGGTTGCAATAGACAGTAACAAACCCTGCTTCTTTGTATTCAGGAGATGTTCTGGACTCACACAGGGAAACTCGGGCTAGAGAATGAGGATAATTTTAAATGCAACAACCCAGAGTCACAGATCCATAGTCTGCGAAAGTAAAACAGGAGCTTTGAGAATTTAATTGTAATGCAGTTTTGACACAGGTCTTTCACAGATTGGAATTCTAATCATTCAGGGATTACCAATATTGTGCTACCTACTGTATCAATAAACAAAAAGGAAACTGGTCTCTATGAGAATCTCTACCTGGTGCTTTCAGACAAAACTTCACCAGGTTTAAAGAGAAAACTCCTGACTCTACACGTCCATTCCCAGGGCGAGCTCACTGTCTGGCATCAAGTTCCCCATGGTGAGTTTCCCTGTACAAGAGTCCAAGGGGAGAGGTAAGTGTCCTTTATTTTGCTGGATGTAGTTTAATATTACCTGAGGTAAGGTAAGGCAAAGAGTGGGAGGCAGGGAGTCCAGTTCAGGGACGGGGATTCCAGGAGAAGTGAAGGGGAAGGGGCTGGGCGCAGCCTGGGGGTCTCTCCCTGGTTTCCACAGACAGATCCTTGGCCAGGACTCAGGCACACAGTGTGACAAAGATGCTTGGTGTAGGAGAAGAGGGATCAGGACGAAGTCCCAGGTCCCGGGCGGGGCTCTCAGGGTCTCAGGCTCCAAGGGCCGTGTCTGCACTGGGGAGGCGCCGCGTTGAGGATTCTCCACTCCCCTGAGTTTCACTTCTTCTCCCAACCTGCGTCGGGTCCTTCTTCCTGAATACTCATGACGCGTCCCCAATTCCCACTCCCATTGGGTGTCGGGTTCTAGAGAAGCCAATCAGCGTCTCCGCAGTCCCGGTTCTAAAGTCCCCAGTCACCCACCCGGACTCGGATTCTCCCCAGACGCCGAGATGCGGGTCATGGCGCCCCGAACCCTCATCCTGCTGCTCTCGGGAGCCCTGGCCCTGACCGAGACCTGGGCCTGTGAGTGCGGGGTTGGGAGGGAAACGGCCTCTGCGGAGAGGAGCGAGGGGCCCGCCCGGCGAGGGCGCAGGACCCGGGGAGCCGCGCAGGGAGGAGGGTCGGGCGGGTCTCAGCCCCTCCTCGCCCCCAGGCTCCCACTCCATGAGGTATTTCTACACCGCCGTGTCCCGGCCCGGCCGCGGAGAGCCCCGCTTCATCGCAGTGGGCTACGTGGACGACACGCAGTTCGTGCGGTTCGACAGCGACGCCGCGAGTCCAAGAGGGGAGCCGCGGGCGCCGTGGGTGGAGCAGGAGGGGCCGGAGTATTGGGACCGGGAGACACAGAAGTACAAGCGCCAGGCACAGACTGACCGAGTGAGCCTGCGGAACCTGCGCGGCTACTACAACCAGAGCGAGGCCGGTGAGTGACCCCGGCCCGGGGCGCAGGTCACGACCCCTCCCCATCCCCCACGGACGGCCCGGGTCGCCCCGAGTCTCCCGGTCTGAGATCCACCCCGAGGCTGCGGAACCCGCCCAGACCCTCGGCCGGAGAGAGCCCCAGTCACCTTTACCCGGTTTCATTTTCAGTTTAGGCCAAAATCCCCGCGGGTTGGTCGGGGCTGGGGCGGGGCTCGCGGGACGGGGCTGACCACGGGGGCGGGGCCAGGGTCTCACACCCTCCAGTGGATGTATGGCTGCGACCTGGGGCCCGACGGGCGCCTCCTCCGCGGGTATGACCAGTCCGCCTACGACGGCAAGGATTACATCGCCCTGAACGAGGACCTGCGCTCCTGGACCGCCGCGGACACGGCGGCTCAGATCACCCAGCGCAAGTGGGAGGCGGCCCGTGCGGCGGAGCAGCAGAGAGCCTACCTGGAGGGCACGTGCGTGGAGTGGCTCCGCAGATACCTGGAGAACGGGAAGGAGACGCTGCAGCGCGCGGGTACCAGGGGCAGTGGGGAGCCTTCCCCATCTCCTGTAGATCTCCCGGGATGGCCTCCCACGAGGAGGGGAGGAAAATGGGATCAGCGCTAGAATATCGCCCTCCCTTGAATGGAGAATGGGATGAGTTTTCCTGAGTTTCCTCTGAGGGCCCCCTCTGCTCTCTAGGACAATTAAGGGATGAAGTCCTTGAGGAAATGGAGGGGAAGACAGTCCCTGGAATACTGATCAGGGGTCCCCTTTGACCACTTTGACCACTGCAGCAGCTGTGGTCAGGCTGCTGACCTTTCTCTCAGGCCTTGTTCTCTGCCTCATGCTCAATGTGTTTGAAGGTTTGATTCCAGCTTTTCTGAGTTCTTCAGCCTCCACTCAGGTCAGGACCAGAAGTCGCTGTTCCTCCCTCAGAGACTAGAACTTTCCAATGAATAGGAGATTATCCCAGGTGCCTGTGTCCAGGCTGGCGTCTGGGTTCTGTGCCCCCTTCCCCACCCCAGGTGTCCTGTCCATTCTCAGGATGGTCACATGGGCGCTGTTGGAGTGTCGCAAGAGAGATACAAAGTGTCTGAATTTTCTGACTCTTCCCGTCAGAACACCCAAAGACACACGTGACCCACCATCTCGTCTCTGACCATGAGGCCACCCTGAGGTGCTGGGCCCTGGGCTTCTACCCTGCGGAGATCACACTGACCTGGCAGCGGGATGGCGAGGACCAAACTCAGGACACCGAGCTTGTGGAGACCAGGCCAGCAGGAGATGGAACCTTCCAGAAGTGGGCAGCTGTGGTGGTGCCTTCTGGAGAAGAGCAGAGATACACGTGCCATGTGCAGCACGAGGGGCTGCCGGAGCCCCTCACCCTGAGATGGGGTAAGGAGGGGGATGAGGGGTCATGTGTCTTCTCAGGGAAAGCAGAAGTCCTGGAGCCCTTCAGCCGGGTCAGGGCTGAGGCTTGGGGGTCAGGGCCCCTCACCTTCCCCTCCTTTCCCAGAGCCATCTTCCCAGCCCACCATCCCCATCGTGGGCATCGTTGCTGGCCTGGCTGTCCTGGCTGTCCTAGCTGTCCTAGGAGCTGTGGTGGCTGTTGTTATGTGTAGGAGGAAGAGCTCAGGTAGGGAAGGGGTGAGGAGTGGGGTCTGGGTTTTCTTGTCCCACTGGGAGTTTCAAGCCCCAGGTAGAAGTGTGCCCCACCTCGTTACTGGAAGCACCATCCACACATGGGCCATCCCAGCCTGGGACCCTGTGTGCCAGCACTTACTCTGTTGTGAAGCACATGACAATGAAGGACAGATGTATCACCTTGATGATTATGGTGTTGGGGTCCTTGATTCCAGCATTCATGAGTCAGGGGAAGGTCCCTGCTAAGGACAGACCTTAGGAGGGCAGTTGCTCCAGAACCCACAGCTGCTTTCCCTGTGTTTCCTGATCCTGCCCTGGGTCTGCAGTCATAGTTCTGGAAACTTCTCTTGGGTCCAAGACTAGGAGGTTCCCCTAAGATCGCATGGCCCTGCCTCCTCCCTGTCCCCTCACAGGGCATTTTCTTCCCACAGGTGGAAAAGGAGGGAGCTGCTCTCAGGCTGCGTGTAAGTGATGGCAGTGGGCGTGTGGAGGAGCTCACCCACCCCATAATTCCTCTTGTCCCACATCTCCTGCGGGCTCTGACCAGGTCTTTTTTTTTGTTCTACCCCAGCCAGCAACAGTGCCCAGGGCTCTGATGAGTCTCTCATCGCTTGTAAAGGTGAGATTCTGGGGAGCTGAAGTGGTCGGGGGTGGGGCAGAGGGAAAAGGCCTAGGTAATGGGGATCCTTTGATTGGGACGTTTCGAATGTGTGGTGAGCTGTTCAGAGTGTCATCACTTACCATGACTGACCTGAATTTGTTCATGACTATTGTGTTCTGTAGCCTGAGACAGCTGCCTGTGTGGGACTGAGATGCAGGATTTCTTCACACCTCTCCTTTGTGACTTCAAGAGCCTCTGGCATCTCTTTCTGCAAAGGCATCTGAATGCGTCTGCGTTCCTGTTAGCATAATGTGAGGAGGTGGAGAGACAGCCCACCCCCGTGTCCACCGTGACCCCTGTCCCCACACTGACCTGTGTTCCCTCCCCGATCATCTTTCCTGTTCCAGAGAAGTGGGCTGGATGTCTCCATCTCTGTCTCAACTTTACGTGTACTGAGCTGCAACTTCTTACTTCCCTACTGAAAATAAGAATCTGAATATAAATTTGTTTTCTCAAATATTTGCTATGAGAGGTTGATGGATTAATTAAATAAGTCAATCCCTGGAAGTTGAGAGAGCAAATAAAGACCTGAGAACCTTCCAGAATCCGCATGTTCGCTGTGCTGAGTCTGTTGCAGGTGGGGGTGGGGAAGGCTGTGAGGAGACGAGTGTGGACGGGGCCTGTGCCTAGTTGCTGTTCAGTTCTTCATGGGCTTTATGTGGTCAGTCCTCAGCTGGGTCACCTTCACTGCTCCATTGTCCTTGTCCCTTCAGTGGAAACTTGTCCAGCGGGAGCTGTGACCACAGAGGCTCACACATCGCCCAGGGCAGCCGCTGCACACTGGAGTCCCTGTGCTTTCTGAGACAAATTTTCAGACCCATTCAGCTCCTGCCCTCCTTCTAGGGCTCCTCTTCTGCTTTGGTCTCCTGCCCTCTCTCCCTTCCCTGATTCCAGTAATCTTCGTGCTGACTCCAATCCCAACTCATGAATCTAAAGCAGAGCCTAATTTAGATTTATATTTGTTTGTAGAATTGGGTCCATAGTCTAGAATTGTTCCTTCCTGAAGAGAGAAACCTGATTGTGTGCTGCAGTGTGCGGGGCGGTTGGTGTGGGAGGAGGGATAGGGGAGGGAGGACACACAAGCAGCCCTGCTGAGAAAAGTACAGGCGGCCTCGGTGTCAGTGTGAGGGGACCTTGTGCTGCAGCTGCCACAAAACAGCACTTGGCCTGAGGCTATGTTAATAAAGATACTGGCTTTAGAATAGGAGGTGCTCTACACTGATCATTCAACTGACCTTTGTTGTCAGCCAGACACAGGACAGAAAAGTTCTGAATCTGGGGAACACCATTGAAGTAAAATCAGAAAAATATCTGAGCATATGCTTCAGTGGTAAGAGGCAGACGATACATACACTATAACCACAGTAAGAAAAGAAAGTGATGGAAGGTGGTAAGTGCCATGAGGCAGGTGATCCAGGTATGGGCAGTGGGGACAGGGAAGGTGGCTGTTGGACAGGAGTTGTCAATGTGTGCCTTGTTGCAAAGATGACCTTTGAGGAAAGATTTGAGGGACATGAGGATGTCTGGGGAAGTTCTTTCTAGGCAAGGAAACTCCAGTCCAAATGCACTAGGGCAGGAAGGTGTCTGTGTTCCCAGAAGAGCAAGGAGGCCAGGAGGGCTGGACAGAGAAACTAGATGAGGTCAGAGGTATGGCCAGAGCAGTTGGGCTTGAGGGGAGTGGGGTTGCGTCTGACCTCTGCTCTGAGTGGGATGGGGAGTTAGAGGACAGTTTTGAGCAGAAGAGAGCCATGATATGACTTCTTTCTTAAAAGGATCTCTGATGGCTGTGCTGAGAACAGAATTGAGAGGCGAGGGATGAGGGAGGCAGAAGGGAAAACAGTAGGAATCGAGTGCAGTATTCCAGGCTGGAGATGTCGGTTACCTTGACTGGGGTGTGAGCACAGGAAATAGTGGGACGTGAGGGGATTCTGGATGCATTTGAAGATGGACTCACAGCATTTGCCAATGGATTGTATCTGTGGTGTGAGAAAGACGAATCAAGGACACCCATAGTTGTAAAATGAGTGAGTAGAAGGAAGGGTGGAGCTGCTGTCAGTGGAGATGGGGAGACTCTGGCAGGAGCATCCTGAGGAGGGGGCATCACAGGCACTCAGTGGAGGAGATGTCTACTAGGAATGCAGGTGGGGGAGCTGGGGTGGCAGCTGGGCAGACAACTCCACAGTTCAGGGGAAAGGACTGGGCTGGAGAAATAGATTTAGGAGCTCACACCACATAAACGATACTTAAAACCTCAAGCATGGATGAAGCACCAAGGGAGTGATTGACTGTGGAAAAGAATCAGCGCAAGGACTGAACCCTGGACCTCCAGTTCTAAGGGATCTGATCAGACCACAGAGCAGACTGCACAGTTCTGGCCCCACGTCTAGAGGACGCTTAGACAAGGAACTCCCGTGTGCACCAGGATCACCTGGATGTGGTGCTGAGATCCAGGAAGTCTGGAGTCGAGCAAGAGATTCTGGATTTATGACAAGGCTGGAGCTCACATTGCTGGTCTCCAGATCACACTTGGAGTAGCCAGAACACCAGGACCCCACGTCTGCATCGGCCTCACCTGTAGGGCTTGTTATGTAAATGATTCCTTGGTCTTGTGCATAATATTGTGAGACAGGGGTGCTGAGGAGTGGCCTGAGTATTTTCTAAGCCTCCACCAGAAATCTTGTTGCTCAGCCAGATCAGGAACCTCAGAGATCAGAGAGTGCCCAGGGTGGGTGGGTGGGTTTTCAAACCCTGTTTAAAAGAGGATTTTTCTTGCAGAAAGGAAAGGGAGGATGTATATCATCAGTTAAGAGATGTGATAATCCCTGTTGATCTCTCCACCATGAGGTAGAGGCCAGGTAGACAATTCAGGATGTGGCTGTCACACAAGGAACACCTCCGAATGCTGCTCTCTGACCCTGGTCCGTAGATTCATTTCTCACTCACCTCTTGGAGAAAACTATGGAAAACAAATTTCTGTAATTTATACATAAAGTAGTATACCTGGTATTGGGGGTTAATTTTATTGTGGGGAAGGCCACAGAACCAGGCTGAAAACTACACATCCCAGAAAAGAATCCATAGCCCACGCCCCTGGATCAGGTCCCTCCTAGGAACAACTGCCCCTGCTGCTGAGCACAGACACCACTGCTCACACCTCTGACATCCTGGTGCTGGACACTGGACCCCAAGGCTAGGATAGATGTCACTGCTGCCCCTGGCAACTGGACATCACTACTGACACTCAGCCATGTTTACTAAAATGCATTCTGCACAATCCCAGCCTTTCTGTGTCACCTCATTCTAGCTCAGAGTCTGGCAGTGATATAGGATTTAAGAAGAAATTATTTAGGCAGGTAGTGAGGGTACAGAAGTCTCAGTAAGGTTTTCTTTTTAATGGAAAGCAGGCTCCAAATCGTTTTCTTTTCTGACAAAGACCAGCCTGTAAAATCAAGCTTCAGACATAGACAAGCAAGCTGGAAGCTTGCACGAGTGAATGCTGGCAGCTGTGCCAATAGGAAAAGGACATCTGGGACTAGGCGTGTTCACAATGATGGCTCCATCTTCCCTTCTTTTTGCCAGCCATGTGTTCAGTAAAGAGCAGACAACATAGCACCGGCCAATAAACTCACTCCTTGTGTGTCACTGTCCTTAATCTTCTTGGTGAGATACAATGAACCCTGAGTATTTACCTGAGACAACAATGCTGCTTCAGCAGGTGGTCATCTGACTGATGGAGTTTAAGACTCATGTCCATTATCAACTGCAGGGGTGACTGGAGTGTTGTGCTCTTCTAGGGATGGGGGTGGTTTCTATCTCCTCTTAACACTTTACATGTTGTAAACCGAAAATAAACTTCAAACCCACCCTCTCCCAACCATCTTAATGGACACCCTCCTCAGCCAGGGCGCTCAAAAATTAACTTGAAAGACTGGCTCAGGCCACCATGGGAAGCAGGTGTTGAACATGCCTCATTATGGCCTCTTCCCTTTTGGAATTCAGGAAAAGCTGACCAGCAATTAACATCAACACAGACCTTAAGTCTGATCAGAAACATTATAATCTATTCTCTCTGAAGCCTGGCACCTGGAGGCTTCAACTGCATGATAAAATTTTGGACTCCACAACCTCTTATCATAACCCAGACATTGCTTTTTATTGATAATAACTCAACCAATTGCCAATCAGAACATTTTAAAATCTACCTATAACCTAGAAGCAGTAACCCCCAACCCTCGCTTGCTTCAAATTGTTCTGCTTTTCTGGACTGAACCAATGTATATCTTAAATATATATTATTAGTGTCTCATATCTTCCTAAAATGTATAAAAACAACCCATACCCCAACCACATTGAGCACATGCTCTCAGGGTCTCCTGAGGGACGTGTCATGGGCTGTGGTCACTCGTATTTGGCTCAGAATAAATCTCTTCAAATATTTTATGAAGTTTGCCTCTTTTCATTGACAGTGTGGAATTCTGATGTAGTAAGAGGGTTCAAGTGCTGGAGTGTGAAGGGTGGGAAAAGAATGATAAATTTTAATTATTGGAGCAGTGCTCCAAGACAAGAAATTTATCTAGTATCTGGTAGGGATTCAGAGTGTCTGAATGAACCGGTGACTAATAAATAACATCTTTCCACCCATTCCCTTGAAAATAAGTTATTACATCAAGTTTTTGTCTATCCCAGTTCATACTCCAGATTATTGGAGTGGCATGGTGTGATGGTGAAATGATTATTCACACATCTTCCCTTGGCATTGTCTCTTACTGGGATTAAAACACCCAGGTTTGTAAGATCTCAGAGGATCTGGTTGCACACTGATGTTTTATATTAATATTTATATTTTCTTGTGTGTGGAAATATTTCTGGGGAGAGAATCTCTGACACTTATTAGTTTTTATGTGACCCCCTCAAAGGCCTAAAAAATCCTAACTTCTAGATTAGAGGTAGGGCCACTCCATGTCTGGACAATGAACAGCTGGTAGAAACCTGTGTTTAGCAGACTTAGGGACATGAAATAAATGCTTAATTTTTTTTATCTTTTCCTCTGGGACCGAAGAAGGTAGAGGTTTACTTGCTTACTCTTACTGTTGTTGCGGGAAGTCAAGGACCCCGAATGAGGGACTGGCTGGAGCTGCGGCAGAGGAACATAAATTGTGAAGATTTCATTTTATTATGGACATTTAACAGTTCCCAAATAATACTTTTATAATTTCTTATGCCTGTCTTTACTTTAATCTCTTAATCCTGTTATCTTCATAAGCTGAGGATGTACGTCACCTTAGGACCACTGTGATAATTGTGTTACAATTTGATTGTAAAACGTGTGTTTGAACAATATGAAATCAGTGCACCTTGAAAAAGAATAGAATAACAGCAATTTTTATGGAACAAGGGAAGACAACCATAAGGTCTGACTGCCTGCGAGGTTGGGCAAAAACAGCCATATTTTTCTTCTTGCGCAGAGCCTATAAACAGACGTGCAAGTAGGAAAGATATCACTAAATTCTTTTCCTAGCAAGGAATATTAATATTAATACACTGGAGAAGGAATTCACTCCTGGGGGGAGGTCTATAAACGGCCGCTCTGGGAATGTCTGTCTTATGCAGTTGAGATAAGGACTGAGATATGCCCTGGTCTCCTGCAGAACCCTCAGGCTTACTAGGGTGGGGAAAAACTCTGCCCTGGTAAACTTGTGGTCTGACCACTTCTCTGCTCTCAAACCCTGTTTTCTGTTGTTTAAGATGTTTATCAAGACAATACGTGCACTGCTAAACATAGACCCTTATCAGTGGTTCTGCTTTTGCCCTTTGTCTTGTTCCCTCAGAAGCATGTGATCTTTGTTAGACTCTTATTAGTAGTTCTGCTTTTTGCACTCAGAAGCATGTGACTTTTTACCTACTCCTTGTTCTTACACCCCCTCCCCTTTTGAAACCCTTAATAAAAACTTGTTGGTCTGAGACTCAGGCAGACATCACGGTCCTACCGATATGTGATGTCACCCCTGGTGGCCCAGCTGTAAAATTCCTCTCTTTGTACTGTCTTTCTTTATTTCTCAGCTGGCCGACACTTATGGAAAATAGAAAGAACCTATGTTGAAATATTGGGGGTGGGTTCCCCCAATATACTGTAAGTTTCTCTCTGTGGGATGGTGATGGGATTTTCCTCCAGCCAAATAATTTTCTGATTCTCCAACAGCAATTGGGAGTCCTAGAATTTGACTCAATTCTGACACTAACTACCTGGAGTTAGCCTCAGACTCCACAGGTTTAAGGACTCAGTCCCACAAGTCTGTCCTCACTTCAGATGCAAGTCACAAGTTATCGGGTTCCAGGTTACCTGCACTTCTGTCTATCATGGCTGCAATGTCAGGGGTTTCTCACCTCCCAAGGTTTGGGAATTCTTAAACTAACTCAAAGAACTCAGGAAGTTGCTATAACCATGTAAACCAAAAAACATCTGAGACAGGTATCAATCAATTTAGAAGTTTATTTTGCCAAGCTGAAGATGTACCTTGGAAACAGAGACACAAATTATTGTAGCATCTGAGGCCCATGCTTTTTACTAAGAGGGTTTTGAGGACTTTAATATTTACAGGAGAAAGAGCAGGCAGGAGAGGAAAAAGGAACAGTCAACTATGCTTTCATCGAGTGCTCAGTAAATCTGCATTTTACATAAGACAAAGTAAATGTTGGGTAGAGAAGTCAAATACACATTTGTCTCCAGGTGAGTGGAGGGATGATTTCTGGTCTTGTCTTTGTCCTTCACCTGTGAAGATAAGCTGTTAATTTACATTGTTAGGGTGAAATTCAACAAAACTCTGTTTTAGAGTAAAGATGTTGGGGCCCACAAGGAATTATCTTGTGAGCAATTTGTGAGGGAGGCCACCTGGGGAGATATATGTTCCTCTATCTTTGCAGTTATTTGTTTAGGAACAAAAGAAAGGCGGTTTTTCCATCACTCAGTTACCAAACTTAACTTGTCCCTTTGGTATAGTGAATTTGGCGTCCCTAAATTTTGTTTTTCTTTCACACTCAGTATTGTAGTTTATTATTGTTATAGCTTAAATCAGTGGTCCCAACTTTTTGGCACCAGGGACCAATTTCATGGAAGACAGTTTTTCCATGGACCAGCAGAGGTGGCAGGGAATAGAGGGGAATGGATTGAGGATGAAACTGTTCCACCTAAGATGATCAGGCATTACTGTTTCATATGGAGCATGCAACCTAGATCCCTCACATGCAGAGTTCACAATAGGGTTCATGCTCTTATGAGAATCTAATTCCGCCACTGATCTAACAGGAGGCAGAGCTCAGGTGGTCATGCTCATGCTCTATCACCCACCAGTGACCTCCTGCTGTGTGGTCTGGTTCCTGCCAAGCCAGGAACCTGTACCAGTCCACAGCCGGGGGTTACGGACTCTTGGTTTAAATTATGCCACTATAGTAGAACACCTGAGACTGGATAACTTAAAACGAACAGAAATTTATTTGGTTCATGGTTGTTGAGGATGGGAATTCCAAGACCAAGGACTGTACCTGGTAGAAAGCAAAAGGGCAAGAGAGGGTGAGAGGTAGGGGGAATAAGAGGTCAAACTCACAGCCTCAGGTCCTTTTATGATCAGACTTAATTCATTAATGGAGGCAGAGCTCTGATGGTCCAATCACCTCTCAAAGGTCCCGCCTCTTAAAAATGTTGCATTCAGGATAAATTATCCAAGAGATGCTTTTCTAGGGAAACATTCAAACCATAGCAGTTATAAAGGGTACAAATGAGCAACCAGATGAAGAGGTGCACAGGGTGTGGTCTGGGAGGGCTCTGAGCACAGGAGCCTCTGTCCCCATGGAGATGAGGTTCACCATCCTCCCAGCACATGGACACACGGATGTGCTCAGCAATTGGGAAGCTCTCCAAAACCCAATCTCTAGAGGTTTCTATGGAAGTTTCATTGTGTAGGCAAGATTAATTAAATCAATGGCCACTGGTGACTGAACTCAACTTCCAGCCCCCTTTGCTTCTCAGAGGTAAGGGATACTGCTGAAATTTCCAATCCTCTAATCACAGCTTCATGTTTCTGGCAACCAGCCCCCATCCTGAAGCTATTTAGGAGCCCCTCACCCCATAGTCATCTCATTGGCATATTAAAGTCATACTTATCACTGAGGAGATTGCAAATGTTTTGGAACCTGCTTGTCAGGAAACAGGGAAAAAGACCAGATATTTTGATTGGGCCACAGATCACACCCTGGTCTTTGACCACATTATCTCTTTTTATAATATTTATTTATTTCAGAGACAAGGTCTTGCTCTGTTGCCCAGGGTAGAATGCAGTGGCACAATCATAGCTCATTGTAACCTTGAATTCCTGGGCTCAAGTGATCCTCCTGCCTCAGCCTCCTGAGCAATAGCATTACAGGTACACACCAGCATGCCCAACTAATTTTTTAAAGATTTTGTAGGAATGGGGTCTCACTATTTTGCCCCGGTTGGTTTCAAACTCCTGGCCTTAAACAATCCTCCTACCATGGCCTCCGAAACTGATGGAATTACAAGTCTGAGCCACTGTGCCTGGCCAATCACAGATCTCCTATACCAGAAGAATCATAACAGTGAGAAGATCCTGGCACATTACCAGAATCCTTTTTGGTCATGAAAAATTATCCCAGGGGAGATCGTTCCAAGATAGCCAAATAGGAACAGCTCCAGTCTACAGCTCCCAGCGTGAGCGGTGCAGAAGACGGGTGATTTCTGCATTTCCAACTGAGGTACTGGGTTCATCTCATTGGGACTTGTCACACAGTGGGTGCTGCCCACAGAATGTGAGCTGAAGCAGGGCAAGGCATTGCCTCACCAGGGAAGCACAAGGGCTCGGAGAATTCCCTTTCCTAGCCAAGGGAAGCCATGAGAGATGGTACCTGGAAAATCGGGACACTCCCACCCTAATACTGTGCTTTTCCAACAGTTGTAGTGAATGGCACACCAGGAGATTATATCCCATGCCTGGCTCAGTGGGTCTCACACCCATGGAGCGTTGCTCACTGCTAGCACAGCAGTCCAAAATTGAACTGGGAGGTGACAGTGAGGCTGGGGGAGGGGCGTCTGCCATTGCTGAGGCTTGACTAGGTAAACAAAGTGGCAGGAAGCTCAAACTAGGTGGAGGCCACTGCAGCTCAACAAGGCCTGTCTGCCTCTGTAGACTCCACCTCTGGGGGCAGGGCATAGCTGAACAAAAGGCAGAAGAAACTTCTGCAGACTTAAATGTCCCAGTCTGACAGCTTTGAAGAGAGCAGTGGTTCTGCCAGCATGGAGTTTGAGATCTGAGAACGGACAGAGTGCCTCCTCAAGTGGGTCGCTGACCTCTGAGTAGCCTAACTGGGAGACACCTCCCAGTAGGGACCGAATGACACCTCATACGGCCGGGTGCCCCTCTGAGACGAAACTTCCACAGGAAGGATCAGGCAGCAACATTTGCTGTTCTGCAATATTTGCTGTTCTGAAGCCTCTGCTAGTGTTACCCAGGCAAACAGGGTCTGGAGTGGACCTCCAGCAAACTCCAATAGACCTGCAGCTGAGGGTCCCGACTGTTAGAATGAAAACTAACAAACAGAAGGAATAACATCAACAAAAGGGACATCTACACCAAAACCCCATCTGTAGGTCACCATCATCAAAGACCAAAGGTAGATAAAACCACAAAGATGGGGAGAAACCAGAGCAGAAAAGCTAAAAATTCTAAAAATCAGAGCACCTGTTCTCCTCCAAAAGATCGCAACTCCTCCCTAGCAATGGAACAAAGCTGGATGGAGAATGACTTTGACAAGTTGACAGAAGTAGACTTCAGAAGATTGGTAATAACAAACTTCTCTGAGCTAAAGGAGGATGTTCGAACCCATCGCAAGGAAGCTAAAAACCTTGAAAAAAGATTAGATGAATAGTTAGCTAAAATAAACAGCATAGAGAAGAACTTAAATGACCTGATGGAGCTGAAAACCATGGCATGAGAACTACATGACGCATGCACAAGCTTCAGTAACCAATGCGATCAAGTGGAAGAAAGGGTATCGGTGATTGAAGATCAAATGAATGAAATGAAGCAAGCAGAGAAGTTGAGAGAAAAAAGAGTAAAAAGAAATGAACAAAGCCTCCAAGAAATATGGGACTATGTGAAAAGACCAAATCTACATTTGATTGGTGTACCTGAAAATGACAGAGAGAATGGAACCAAGTTGGAAAACACTTTTCAGGATATTATCCAGGAGAACTTCCCCAACCTAGCAAGGCAGGCCAACATTCAAATTCGTGAAATACAGAGAACGCCACAAAGATACTCCTCAAGAAGAGCAACCCAAAGACACATAATTGTCAGATTCAATAAGGTTGAAATGAGGGAAAAAATGTTAAGGGCAGCCAGAGAGAAAGGTCAGGTTACCCACAAAGGGAAGCCCATCAGACTAACAGTGGATCTCTTGGCAGAAACTCTACAAGCCAGAAGCGAGTGGGGGCCAATATTCAACATTCTTAAAGAAAAGAATTTTCAACCCAGAATTTCATAACCAGCCAAACTAAGCTTCATAAGTGAAGGAGAAATAAGAGCCTTTACAGACAAGCAAATGCTGAGAGGTTTTGTCACCACCAGGCCTGCCTTACAAGAGCTCCTGAAGGAAGCACTAACATGGAAAGGAGCAACCAGTACCAGCCACTGCAAAAATATGCCAAATTGTAAAGACTATCGATGCTAGGAAGAAACTGCATCAACTAACGGGCAAAATAACCAGCTAACATCATAACGATAGGGTCAAATTCACACATAACAATATTAACCTTAAATGTAAATGGGCTAAATGCCCCAATTAGAAGACACAGACTGGCAAATTGGATAAAGAATCAAGACCCATCAGTGTGCTGTATTCAGGAAACCCATCTCACGTGCAGAGACACACATAGGCTCAAAATAAAGGAATGGAGGAAGATCTACCAGGCAAATGGAAAACAAAAAAAGCAGGGGTTGCGATCCTGGTCTCTGATAAAACAGACTTTAAACCAACAAAGATCAAAAGAGACAAAGAAGGCCATTACGTAATGGTAAAGGAATCAATTCAACAAGAAGAGCTAACTATCCTAAATATATATGCACCCAATACAGGAGCACCCAGATTCATAAAGCAAGTCCTTAGAGAACTACAAAAAGACTTAGACTCCCACACAATAATAATGGGAGACTTTAACACCCCACTGTCAACATTAGACAGATCAACGAGACAGAAAGTTAACAAGGATATCCAGGACTTGAACTCAGCTCTGCACCAGGCAGACCTAATAGACATCGACAGAACTCTCCACCCCAAATCAACAGAAAATACCTTCTTCTCAGCACCATATCACACTTATTCCAAAATTGACCACATAGTTGGAAGTAAAGCACTCCTCAGCAAATGTAAAAGAATAGAAATTATAACAAACTGTCTCTCAGACCACAGTGCAATCAAATTAGAACTCAGGATTAAGAAACTCACTCAAAACCACTCAACTACATGGAAACTGAGCAACCTGCTCCTGAATGACTACTGGGTACATAACGAAATGAAGGTAGAAATAAAGATGTTCTTTGAAACCAATGAGAACAAAGACACAACATACCAGAATCTCTGGGACACATTTAAAGCAGTGTGTAGAGGGAAATTTGTAGCACTAAATGCCTGCAAGAAAAAGCAGGAAAGATCTAAAATCGACAGCCTAACATCACAATTAAAAGAACTGGAGAAGCAAGAGCAAACACATTCAAAAGCTAGCAGGAGACAAGAAATAACTAAGATTAGAGCAGAACTGAAGAAGATAGAGACACAAAAAACCCTTCAAAAAATCAATGAATCCAGCAGCTGGTTTTTTTGGAAAGATCAACAAAACTGATAGACCGTTAGCAAGACTAATAAAGAAGAAAAGAGAGAAGAATCAAATAGACACAATAAAAAATGATAAAGGGGATATCACCACCAATCCCACAGAAATACAAACTACCATCAGAGAATACTATAAACATCTCTATGCAAATAATCTAGAAAATCTAGAAGAAATGGATAAATTCCTGGACGCATACACCCTCCCAAGACTAAACCAGAAAGAAGTTGAACCCCTGAATAGACCAATAATAGGCTCTGAAATTGAGGCAATAATTAATAGCCTACCAACCAAAAAAAGTCCAGGACCAGATGGATTCACAGCCAAATTCTAACAGAGGTACAAAGAGGAGCTGGTACCATTCCTTCTGAAATTATTCCAATCAATAGAAAAAGAGGGAATCCTCCCTAACTTATTTTATGAGGTTGGCATCATCCTGATACCAAAGCCTGGCAGAGACACAACAAAAAAAAAGAGAATTTTAGACCAATATCCCTGATGAACATGGATGCAAAAATCCTCAGTAAAACACTGGCAAACCGAATCCAGCAGCACATCAAAAAGCTTATCCACCATGATCAAGTGGGCTTCATCCCTGGGATGCAAGGCTGGTTCAACATACACAAATCAATAAACATAATCCAGCATATAAACAGAACCAAAGACAAAAACCACATGATTATTTCAATAGATGCCAAAAAGACCTTCAACAAAATTCCACAGCCCTTCATGCCAAAAACTCTCAATAAACTAGGTATTGATGGGACATATCTCAAAATAATAAGAGCTATTTATGACAAACCCACAGCCAATATCATACTGAATGGGCAAAAACTGGAAGCATTCCCTTTGAAAACTGGCACAAGACAGGGATGCCCTCTCTCACCACTCCTACTCAACATAGTGTTGGAAATTCTGGCCAGGGCAATCAGACAAGAGAAAGAAATAAAGGGTATTCAATTAGGAAAAGAGGAAGTCAAATTGTCCCTGTTTGCAGATGACATGATTGGATGTTTAGAAAACCCCATCATCTCAGCCCAAAATCTCCTTAAGCTGATAAGCAACTTCAGCAAAGTCTCAGGATACAAAATCCATGTGCAAAAATCACAAGTATTCTTATACACCAATAACAGACAAACAGAGAGCCAAATCATGAGTGAACTCCCATTCACAATTGCTTCAAAGAGAATAAAATACCTAGGAATCCAACTTACAAGGGATGTGAAGGACCTCTTCAAGGAGAACTACAAACCACTACTCAACGAAATAAAAGAGGACATAAACAAATGGAAGAACATTCCATGCTCATGAATAGGAAGAATCAATGTCGTGAAAATGGCCATACTGCCCAAGCTAATTTATAGATTTAATGCCATCCCCATCAAGCTACCAATGACTTTCTTCACAGAATTGGAAAAAACTACTTTAAAGTTCATATGGAACCAAAAAAGAGCCTGCATTGCCAAGACAATCCTAAGCCAAAAGAACAAAGCTGGAGGCATCACGCTACCTGACTTCAAACTATATTACAAGGCTACAGTAACAAAAACAGCATGGTACTGGAACCAAAACAGAGATATAGACCAATGGAACAGAACAGAACCCTCAGAAATAATATCACACATCTACAACTATCTGATCTTTGACAAACCTGACAAAAACAAGAAATGGGGAAAGGATTCCCTATTTAATAAATGGTGCTGGGAAAACTGGCTAGCCATAGTAGAAAGCTGAAACTGGATCCCTTCCTTAGACCTTATACAAAAATTAATTCAAGATGGATTAAAGACTTAAATGTTCGACCTAAAATCATAAAAACCCTAGAAGAAAACCTAGGCAATACCATTCAGGACATAGACATGGGCAAGGACTTCATGACTGAAACACCAAAAGCAATAGCAACAAAAGCCAAAATTGACAAATGGGATTTAATTAAACTAAAGAGCTTCTGCACAGCAAAAGAAACTACCATCAGAGTGAACAGGCAACCTACAGAATGGGAGAAAATTTTTGTAATCTACCCATCTGACAAAGGACTAATATCCAGAATCTACAAAGAACTTAAACAAATTTACAAGAAAAAATCAACCCCATCAAAAAGTGGGCAAAGGATATGAACAGACACTTCTCAAAAGAAGACATCTATGCAGCCAACAAACACATGAAAAAATGCTCATCATCACTGGTCATCAAAGAAATGCAAATCAAAACCAAAAGGAGATACTATCTCACACCAGTTAGAATGGCAATCATTAAAAAGTCAGGAAACCACAGGTGCTGGAGAGCATGTGGAGAAATAGGAACACTTTTACACTGTTGGTGGGAGTGTAAGCTAGTTCAACCATTGTGGAAGACAGTGTGGCAATTCCTCAAGGATCTAGAACTAGAAATACCATTTGACCCAGCCATCCCATTACTGGGTATATACCCAAAGGATTATAAATCATGCTACTATAAATGCACATGTATGTTTATTGCACTATTCACAATAGAAAATACTTGGAACCAACCCAAATGTCCATCAGTGATAGACTGGATTAAGAAAATGTGGCACATAAGCCGGGTGCAGTGGCTCATACCTGTAATCCCAGCACTTTGGGAGGCTGAGGTGGGTGGATCACGAGGTCAGGAGATCAAGACCATCCTGCCTAATACAGTGAAAACCCGTCTGTACTAAAAATACAAAAAAATTAGCTGGTCATGGTGGCGGGTGCCTATAGTCCCAGCTACTTGGGAGGCTGAGGCAGGAGAATGGCATGAACCCAGGAGGCAGAGCTTGCAGTGAGCGAGATCGCACCACTGCACTCCAGCCTGGGCGACAGAGCGAGACTCCATCTCAAAAAGAAAAAAGAAAAAAAGAAAATGTGTCACAAATACACCATGGAATACTATGCAGCCATAAAAAAGGATGAGTTCATGTCCTTTGCAGGGATGTGGATGAAGCTGGAACTTCATCTGAGCAAACTATCACAAGGACAGAAAACCAAACACTGCATGTTCTCACCCATAGGTGGGAATTGAACAATCAGAACACTTGAACTCAGGGTGGGGAATATCACACACCAGGGCCTGTCATGGGGTGGGGACAGGGGGGAGGGATAGCATTAGGAGAAATACCTAATGCAAATGACGAGTTAATGGGTGCAGCACACCAACATGGCACATGTACACATAGGTAACAAACCTGCATGTTGTGCACATGTACCCTAGAACTTAAAGTATAATAAAAAAAAAAATTATCCCGGTGCAGCCCAAAAACAGAAGTAGTCTCAGCAACATAAGGCTGCACCCGTTCAGGCATTTGGTAAAATTGAGTTAAGAGACAATATCATCTCTTGCTTATATCTCTTTTGAGTAGTTCATGTAACATTGGATTTTCCTCATTGCATAACCCATTTATTCATTCATTTACCCTCAGCTACTATTTCTCCTTCTCTTCATTTATACCAAACATTTCTAGTTATGGAAGGGACATGAGGTTCTGCTGCTGTGCTGACCTAGACTGCACGGACCAATACTGTTCTAGCAATTGTCTTGCATCATCCATTCCAGTTCATAGAGGGTAGGGTTATGCAGTAGAGAACTGGTTGGCTATCTGACCCCAGGCAATACAGCTGCATTCAGTGTTAACCCCAGCTTTGCCAGATGCACTGAAGGCACGACCTACTTCTCCAGACCCTTAGGAATCATTACATAATGGACACAAAATATATTTACAGTTTCTTGCTTAGGAATAATTCCTGTTTCTGGACTTTTATTTGCATCCCTAGTCCTGAGACCACTGCATCAGGTATGAGAAAAGCAAGTTGAGGTAAAGTACAGTCATCATTCCAGTGTCCTCCCACCTTGGGAAGGATTGTATATAGATCACACCAGTACCTTCCCCTGATCCACAAGGAAAAGAGAGGATACTTTCATATCAAGTGTAAGCACACTCATGAAGGTGTGTAAGCCCACCCTTCATGCTTGTTTCCCCACTCTTGCTTTATACAACCAATGTTTCAATGGAATATTTTAATTCTCTATGGAACTCTTCCTCTGAGAAGGATGTCTTTCTGACATTTTGAGCAAGCGCATTTTCTGGTGTAAAGAAATGTGACTCAGTGGTCCACATGGTTGCAGTACCTCCCATTCAAGCTCTTAGTAGCACTCCGAGCATTTGCATCTGAGATAAAGCAGGGACCTCTCTTAGAAGCCTGCCAGGGCCTCCCAACATGGAAATAAAGAAAAACCTTCAGTTCCTTCAAAAGAAATTCCAGGCACCTAGCCAGCCCTAAAAATTAAGTGAGTGACCTTATAAACAAGAAGGTAATGATAGCTTAAAACGATAGCCAAGGAAGTTAGAGTCACAAGATGTTGGATTCTCTATGGAAACTAAAGAGAACATCTTAATATATGTCCCTGAGTTGTTTTTCAGAAACTCAGATTCCCACCTAATAGATCCACTGACAGGAAGACCTCAGATAAGGGGAAACTGAGGACTGAACTCTGACCACTGTTCTTTGTTCTAAATTTCTTCCTGAGGGGCCTGGAGAGAGTAAAGCCCACAGGCCAGGCCTGAACATTCCTCTCTACTGCCCCCAACTGTGTAAGGAAGCTTTGCTTCCTTATGAATCACAAATCAGAGAATCTTTATCTCTATCTACGACTTGTAAGCTCCCTCATCAGGATATTCCTCCTTTTAAGGCCAAACCAGTGTGTAACTTCTATGCATTGATTTATGATGTTGCCTGTAACTCTGCTTTCCTGAAATTTACCCCTATCTTTAAGAAACCTTGCTTGTGAGCCATTGAGGAGGTTGGGTCTTAACTGTGAGCTGGCTGATTCTCCTTGCTTGGCACCCTACAAATAAATGCCCTCCTTTATCTCACTACAAAATCTCAGTATGGATGTTTGTTTTTACTGCCCCAGGTGAGTGGACTCCAGTTCTGTTTGGTAACACATCTACCAGCAGCTGAGCAATGCCCAGCTCCAGGGTGCGTATCTATTGCTGCCAAGACCCATTTGCTGCTTCCTGGGGCTACTGGTATCAGTGTAACTTGCCAGCTCTGTATTTTCAAGATCTTCCCATAAAAGAATCTGCCACATAGCCATATGCTATCTCTGTCTCTCTCTCTTTTTTTTGTTAAAGAAAACACTTATATGTATTTTGTGCCTGTGATGTGGGGAATGCAAGAGGAATATGCCTTGATTCCATCTCTCTCTGCATTGCTACAGCCCCAGTGTCTACTTATTTCATGGACCCAGGTGATCACCACAAGCAAATGTGGATTTTTTTTAGATGTGGTCTTGATATCTTTCTCTGGCTGGACTCAAGTGCTGCTCAGGCCAAACTCTAACTCCTGGACTCAAGATATCCTTCTGCCTCAGCTGTTGTCATAGCTGGAATTACAGGTGCACCTGGCAAACACTTGGCGATAAATGCTTGTTTATTTCAATCACCTTCCAAACCTGGAAGGGAGTTATTCTGATGGGCATTGATGGGCACTGAGGGGACGGTGCTAAACCATTCATGAGAAACTGCCCCCGTGATCCAATCACCTCCCTGCAGGTCCCACCTCTAATGCTGGGGATTCCATCCAACATGAGATTCGGGCAAGAACAACATCCACTCTATATCAGGCATCAACGTGTCTTACATTAATGAACCTCTCAAATTACCATCGTGATTTCCATAGGACTGTGTCTCATTTGGGCACTCTTTTCATCAGCAAGTTTTCCTTTGCTTTCCTGATTAATTATATGGCCAGGCCATTAGTCACTGCCTGTAAGTCAATAAAAACTAAAACATAGGAGCTTTATTATTGTTCAATTCTTCCACTACTGCTGAGAAACACCCTGCAATTCAGCCCACAAGAGTTGTTCTGTTTTTATCTTCTTCGATCAAAGTGGTGGACTTCCAAACAGGATGTTGTCCATTCATCTTCCAAATGCTGTACACAAACCAACCAGCTGTTTGAGATCAGTTGACGGATATTGCAGTTCAAATCCCAGCGCTGTCTGCTGCAGAGTTCCATCTTGCTCAGAGAAGGTCAATGTTTTGTTCAATTTACACCTTCAATGAATTGAATGAAGCCCACCCACATTATAGAGATCAATCTACTTTACTCAAAGTCTAGTTATTTTGCATTAATGTTATCCAAGAAACATTCTCACAAATCATCCAGAATAATGCTTGATCACCTATCTGGGCACTGTGGTTCAGCCAAGATGACAAATAAAATTAATTATGACATTCTTCAATTTAAGAATATTCTGAGGAAATTAGCCTTTGTCCTAATAAAACAAGGAACAAACAACTGTTTCTAAAAATTTTCAACCAACAGTCAAAAAGCCATTCCTATAGATTGTTGCTCAAGTTCATTCTATAACTGTGGGTGAAAAAAACATGTATTTGTTGAAAACAGAAGGAGAGAAAAATGAATAAGCAGAAAGTAAAAAAAAAGACATGAGAATAATAATAAAGATGACAGCCGTTATTTCACTGGAAACAATGCAAATGAGAAGACAGATGAGCAACATCTTTAAAGTCCTAAAAGGAAAATACTGTGAAACTAGATTCTATTCCCAGAAAATAATACCTTTCTAAAACATATATATGTATAATTTAAATTGACAAATCATAATACATTCATGAGATGTTGTGTGATGTACTGATATATGTATACCATGTGTAATGATTAAATCAAACTAATTAACCAATTAACATACCATGAATATAGCTATTGAAAAATAGATTTTAGTTATATAGGGAGTGAAAAAAGTTATAACTAGCAGATCTAAACTATAATAAATGTTTCAGTCCTTCAGGCAAAAAGAAAATTAAGGGACTAGTTGGCACAGCATTTAGTGATGAAAAGACAGCTTCATTTCCTTTTTCCACTGAGACAGAGAACACAGCCCAGGGTCCTGGGAATTGCTCAACCCAATCCACCACTGTGGACACCTGAGAACTCCTCCTGGGTAACCGAGGTTGGGTGCTATCACCTTAGCTGTCACCTACCTGCAAACACCACCTATGGGCATTCCACCCAGCCTATCATAGCTACTGCTAACATTAATGCACACTTTTTGGGACCAGTAGTTCTCCTTGCAGACATCTTTTACCTCCCAAATTAGCATTATTCCTAGGTATTGTATTCTTTTTGTGGCAATTGTGAGTGGGAGTTCATTCCTGCTTTGGCTCTTGGCTTGCCTGTTGTCAGTGTGTAGAAATGCTAGTAATTTTTGCACATTGATTTTGTATCTTGAGAATTTGCTGAAGTTGTTTATCAGCTTAAGAAGCTTTTGGACTGAGGCTATGGGTTTTTCTAGTTATAGAATCATGTCATCTGCAAACAGGAATCATTTGAATTCCTCTCGTCCTATTTGAACATCCTTCTTTTTTTTTTTTTTTTTTTTTTAATTTCACTTGCCTGATTGCCCTGGTCAGAATTTCCGATACTGTGTTGAACAGGAGCAGTGAGAGAGGGCATCCTTGTCTTGTGCTGATTTCAAGGAGAATGCTTCTAGTTTTGCCCATTCAGTATGAAGTTGGCTGTGGGTTTGTCATAGATGGCTTTTATTGTTTTGAGGTATATTCCTTGAACACCTAGTTTATTGAGAGTTTTTTTAAAAACATGAATAGAGTTTGAATTTTATCAAAAGCCTTTTCTTCATCAACTGAGACAATCATGTAGTTTTTGTCTTTAGTTCTGTTTACGTGATGAATCACATTTATTGATTTGCATATGTTGAACTAACCTTGCATCCTGGCGATGAAGCCTACTTGATTGTGGTGGATAAGGTTTTTGATGTGCTGCAGGATTCGGTTTGCCAGCATTTTGTTGGAGATTTTTGCATTAATGTTCATCAAGAATACTGGCCTGATGTTTTCTCTTGTTTGTTGTTGTTGTATCTCTGCCACATTTTGGTATCAGGATGATGCTGGCCTAATAGAATGAGTTAGGGAGGAGTCTCTCCTCCTCATTTTTTGGGAATAGTTTCAATAGGAATGGTACCATCTCTTCTTTGTACATCCAGTAGAATTCACCTGTCAATCATCTGGTCCTGCACTTTTTTTTTTTTTTTTGGTAGGCTCTTCATTACTGCCTCAAGTTCAGAACTCATTATTTTTTCAGAGATTGCATTTCTTCCTGGTTCAGTCTTGGGGGCGGTGTATGTGTCCAGGAATTTATCCATTTCTTCTAGATTTTCTAGTTTATGCGCATAGAAGTGTTCATAATATTTTCTGGTGGTTTCTTGTATTTCTGTGGGGTCAGTGGTAATGTTCCTCTTATTGTTTCTGATTGTGTTTATTGGAATTTTCTCTCTTTTCTTCTTTATTAGCTTAGCTAGTGGTCTATTTTATTAATTTCTTTTAAAAAACCTCCTGAATTTATTGATCCTTCAAATGGTTTTTTGTGTCTCTGTCTCCTTCAGGAGACAATACTTTTGTTAATTTTTTTTGTTATTTCTTGTCTTCTGCTAGCTTCGGGATATGTTTGCTCTTCATTCTTAAGTTCTTTTAGGTTTGATTTTAGGTTGTTGACTTGAGATCTTTCTAACTTTTTGATGTGGGCATTTACTGCTATAAATTTCCCTCTTAACACTGCCTTAGCTGTTTCCCAGAGGTTCTGGTACATTGTATCTTTTTTCTCATTAGTTTCAAAGAACTTCTTGATTTCTACCTGAATTTCATTATTTACTAAAAGTCATTCAAGAACAGGTTATTTAATTTCTAAGTAATTATATGGTTTTAGTGAATTTCTTATTCTTGATTTTGAATTTGATTGCACTGTAGTCTGAGAGACTATTTGTTATGATTTCAGTTCTTTTGCATTTGCTGAGGAGTGTTTTACTTCTGATTGCGTGATTGATTTTAGGGTAAGTGCCATGTAGCAATGAGAAAAATGTATATTCTGTTGTTCTGGGGTCTGGAGTTCTGTAAATATCTATCAGGTCCATTTGCTCCAGGGCTGAATTCAGGTCCTGAATATCTTTGTTAATTTTCTGTCTTGATGATCTGTCTAATATTGTCAGTGGGGTATTAAAGTCCACCACTTCTACTGTGTGAGGTTCTAAATCTCTTTGACGGTCTCTAAGAACCTGCCTTATAAATCTGGGTGTTCCTCTATTGGATGCATATATATTTAGGATAGTTAGATCTCTTCATTGAATTGAACCCTTTACCATTATGTAATGCCCACCTTTATCTTTTTTTATCTTTCTTGGTTTAAAGTCTGTGTTGTCAGAAACTAGGATTGCAACCCTGGCTTTCTTCCGCTTTCCATTTGCTTGGAAAATTTTCCTCCATCTCTTTATTTTGTGCCTATGTGTGTCATTGAATGTAAGATGAGTGTATTGTAGGCAGCATACTGATAGGTCTTGGTTCTTTATCCAGCTTGCCCTTCTGTGTCTTTTAAATGTGGCATTTAGCCCATTTACATTTAAGGTTAGTATTGATATGTATGGATTTGATCCTGTCATCATGGTGTTAGCTGGTTACTTTGCAGACTTGCTTATGTGGTTGCTTTATTGCGTCACTGGTCTATGTACTTCAGCGTGTTTTTGTAGTGGCTGGTAACTGTCTTTCCTTTCCATATTTAGTGCTTCTTTTAGGAGTTCTTGTAATGCAGGTCTGGTGGTAATGAATTCCCTTGGCATTTGTTTGTCTGAAAAGAATTTTATTTCTTTTTTGCTTATGAAGCTTAGTTTGGCTGGATATGAAATTGTGGGTTGGAAATTCTTTTCTTTAACAATGTTCAATACTGGCCCTCAATCTCTTCTGGTGTGTAGGGTTTCCACTTGGAGGTCCACTGTTAGTCTAATGGGCTTCCCTTTGTAGGTGACCTGGCCTTTCTCTCTGGCTGCCCTTAACGTTCTTTCTTTCATTTCAACCATGGAGAATCTGATGATTGTATCTTGGGGATGATCTTCTCATGGAGTAACTTACTAGTGTCCTCTGCATTTCTGAATTTGAATGTTGGTCTGTCTAGCTAGGTTGGGAAAGTTCTCATGGATGATATCTTGAAGTGTGTTCCAAATTGATTCCATTATTCCCATCTCTTTCAGGTATACCAATAATTCATGGATTCAGTTTCTTTACATAATCTGATGTTTCTCAGAGGTTTTGTTTGTTCCTTTTCATTCTGTTTTCTCTATTCTTGTCTTCCTGTCTTATTTTAGAAAGCTGGTCTTCAAGCACTGAGAGTCTTTCCTCCACTTGTTCTATTCTGCTGTTAATACTTGTGAGTGCACTATGAAATTCTTTTAGTGTGTTTTTCAGCTTTATCAGGTTGGTTTCATTCTTCTATAATACTGGCTATTTTGTCTGTCAGCTCCTGCAATGTTTTATCATTATTTTTAGCTTCCTTGGATTGGGTCACACTGTACTCCTTTAGCACAGTGAACTTCTTCCCTCTCCATATTCTGAATTCTACTTCTGCTCTTTCAGTCATCTCAGCTTTAGCCTGGTTCCAAACCCTTGCTGGCTTTTTGAGTTTTCAGCATTGTTGTGCTGATTCTTTCTCATCTTAGTGGGCTTATCTACCTTCATTCTTTGAGGTTGCTGATCTATGAATGGGTTTTGTTTTTCTCTTCTTTTGTTTTCTCTTTCAACAGTCTGGCCACTTTTCTGTAGGGCTACTGCAGTTTGCTGAGGGCCTGCTCCAGTCCCCAGTTGCCTCAGATTTTCCAGTAACTGGAGATATCACCAGTGAAAGCTACATAACAGCAAAGATGGTAGTCTGCCTTTTCCTTTGGGAGCTCTGTCTCAGGAAAGTACAGACCTGTTGCCAGCCCAAACACACCTGTAGGAGGTACTGGAGACCCTGGTTGGGAGGTCTTGCCCAGTCACGAGGAATAGGATCAGGATCTAGAGGTTTACCAAAGGGAGGAATACTCCCTCAGGAGACACAGAAATTATTCCATTGAGCTGGAAGCTAAGACACCCACCCGGGCCCTTCAGCTCCTCATGTTACTGAATCAACAGACAAAGGAAGGAGTTACTGCACTTTCTGGGGTGATTGGTCCTGGTCATCAGGGGGAAATTGGTCTGCTACTACACAATGGCAGTAAATAAGACTATGTTTGAAATACAGGAGATCTTTTAGAGCATCTCTTAGTAATACTCTGCTCTATAATTAAAGTCAATAAAAACTACAACAACCCAAGTCAGGCAGGACTACTAATGACCCATGCCCTTCAGGAATGAAGGTATGAGTCACCCAAGCAGGAAAAGAAACCTGATCAGCTGACGGACTTGCTGAAGGCAGTGGGACTATGGGATGGTTAGTGAAAGAAAGCTATTTACACTAGTTGTGGCCAGCACAGTGGCTCATGCCTATAACCCCAGCACTTTGGGAGGCTGAGGCAGGTGGATTCCTTAAGTTGAGGAATGTGAGACCAACCTGGGCAACATGCTGAAATTCCATCTCTACTGAAAATACATACAAAAAATTAGTCAGACTTGGTGGTGTGCTTGCAGTCCCAGCTACTTAGGAGGTTGAGGTAGAAGGATCACTTGTGCCCAGGAGGTGGAGTTTGCAGTGAGCCAAGGTAATGCCACTGCACTCCAGCCTGGGCAACAGAACAAGACCCTGTATCAAATAAATAAATAAGTAAATAAATAAATAAATAACCAGCTGTAACCATGTGATCAGTTGCAGAAATAAAGACAGTAAATGTTATAAGCATTTCTTCCTTATGTTTTTACAATGATATTTATGTCTGTGTGTATGTACCCATACATGTACTAAGCAAATACCTTTGTTTTCATCTTTTCCTTATCATCTTGTAATAAAACATAAAATGTGCTAATAATAGTTCCCTTTTATTAATGATGGTTCAACTTTTTTTAAACATGGTGTTTAGGTTACAGTATATCGAAGAGAAAAATGCTTATCATGCATTGAGTTTGAATTTTTTTCTGAGGAAATGGTTAGTGTTTTTAGATGGATGCAAGATAGCTGTATCATCTTTAGCAAAAGTATGACTTTATAATTGTTTTTATTTGGAGACTAAGTATGGTTTAAGAAAACGTTAATGGGTGCCAAGTTCACAAGCATGGACTAGGGTGGTGGGTATTATGTGTCAATTTTACTAAACCATAGTGTCTAGTTATTTAATCAAACACTAATTTATATGTTGCTATGATGGTGTTTTGCACTTGTGGTTAAAATCTTATGTCAGTTGATTTTATGAAAAAGAAATTACCCTCAAAAATGTGGGCGGGACTTTTTGAATCAGTTGAAGGCCTTTGGGCAAAGTGTGAGGCTTCTCAAAGAAGAAAAAATTCTGCCTCAAGATGACAGTAGCAACTACAGTTTAGATTTCCAATCTGCCAGCCTGGTTTACAAATTTTAGACTGAAGACTGCAACATTGTGACTTTCCAGCCTGCTAGCCTGCAGAGGAGTAATTTGTGACATCAATAATGTAAAATGAGGGGTGGAAAAAGATGTAAAGAAGCAGAGTTTCATACTGGTTTCAATTCAAAATTGTTATAGTTGTATTGTTATGTGCAATACCATAGTAATCACAAAGAAAATATACATAAAATATACACAAAAGAAAGTGAGAAGGCAATTAAAACATATCACTAGAAAAAAATCGACTAAACACAAAGGAAGGTTGGAATGAGGAAGATAAGGGACGAAACAGCTATAAGACATGCATAAAACCATCACAATTACAGAGGTAAGTCCTTCTTCATCAGTAATTACTTTAAATGTAATGGATTAAACTCCCCAATCAGAATTGAGATTATCACAATGGATATAATAAAAAGATTCTAACCATATGCTGGCTACAAGATACTCACTTTGGATCTAAGGACACATACAAGTTGAAAATGAAAGGATGGAAAAGGATATTCCTGAAAATAGTAACTAAGAATTTTTAATGATCTCTCATAGGGTTCTATGTGTTGGCTGGGCTCAGATGATGGCCTTGGAGTTTAACATGGTTCAGGGATTGAAGTGGAAGGAACCAGATGCAGGCAGGATGGTTAACAGCAGTGCCCAGAACTGACACAACCACGTTTCTGCCCTATTTTATTGGCTAACGCAGATATCAGATCTGCTCATGTTTAAGGGGATGGAAAGAACTTACCTCTTGATGAGGGAGTGGTGGATCAAACTAAAGAAAACAAAGTGTGATGGAAGATACTTCTGCAGCCGTCTTTGGAAAATACATACAATCCAAAACATCCTATCGGCCAGAAAGGAAGAACACCATCACGCCTTACCCCTCCAGTCTAAGCCCTGTGATTCTGTAGTATCCTGGGGAAGGACCATGTCTTAGGAAGCAGATGCGGAGTCAAAGCTCTAAATAAAACCCCATCTACAGCCACAATTTCACTTTATTTTGATGAAATTTTGTGTCATTTTCGATAAAATGGGGGCTCACAAATCTCTCTTCAGGGATCTCTCCAGTGGCGGGGATGATATGCTTCCTTCTCCACAGTTCTACTTTACAGATAAGTGGATCTAGGTCTCAGTTTCAGTTATTTAAAACACCAGAGACTTGGATGCATGCATGTCACAAAAAGGTGAAAGAATGCTCTGTCACTTTCCCTTCTCTCGCTCACTGCGCCCTGAACAAGAACCTGCTCTACCTTGACCTTTTGAATGGGGAGGAGGGTCGCACTCCTGACTAAGCTTCATGCTTCCAGAGATAAACCTGCTACCCCAAAAGCATAGTTTATTATAAAGACCAAACCCTACACCAAGAGCTCTCCCTTCACCTACCAGGGCAGAAACTGAATCCCATGGAAAGGCCCAGAGAAATTGTGGCTCAAAATGTCCAGTGTCATGTCCCTTCTGCCAAAATGAAGCCAACATGTTCATCACAATATGGGGTATTGATAAGGATATCAAAATGATTACCACAAAAATTTCACAAATATATTCTTTTTATTACATCAACTTTTTTGTCCTACAAATATAAAGAAAATAAGCCTGCATAGCAGGAGAAGTTTTTCCTCTGGGAGAGAATCCTCTTCCCAATGAAAAAGCTGGAGCCAGAATCACTAGAATGGAGCAAACTTTCAGGAATGACACAGCACTGCGTCTTGGGGCAGCCAGAGTTAGGGAGGGCTCACCTTCTGCGTGACACCAACCTTTGGCTGTCTTTTTTTTTTGTTCTCACTGCAAGAACAAAATTTCAGAGTATTAAGAGACAGAGTTAAGCCAAAGAGATTTACTCTGTTTTACTCTTTAGAAAACGCAATCTCGGCCAGGAGCGGTAGCTTGCGCCTGTAATCCCAGCATTTTGGGAGGCCGAGGTGAATAGATCACCTAAGGTCAGGAGTATGAGACCAGCCTGGCCAACATGGTGAAACCCCATCTCTACTAAAAATACAAAAATTAGCTGGGCGTGGTGGCAGGCATCTGTAATCCCGGCTACTCGGGAAGCTGAGACAGGAGAAATGCTTGAACCTGGGAAGCGGAGGTTGCAGTGAGCCGAGATCGTGCCACTGCACTCCAGCCTGGGTGACAGAACAAGGCTCCATCTCAATAAAAGAAAAGAAAACAAAAGAAAGAGAAGAAAGAAAAAGAAAGAAAGAAAGAAAAAAGGAAGGAAGGAAGGAAGGAAGGAAGGAAGGAAGGAAGGAAGGAAGGAAGGAAGGAAGGAAGGAAGGAAAAGGAGTCTCCAGGTTAATCCAGACTGTTATGGGCTAAATTGCATCTCTCCAAAAATTGGCATGTTGGTGTCCTAACCCCCAGTACCTGAGAAAGTGACTGCATTTGGAGAGGTCTTTAAGGAGGTCATTAAGGTAAAATGAGGTCATATGAGTGGGTCTTAATTCAATGTGACTAGTGTCCTTATAAAAAGAGAAGATTAGACATAGACAGATGCAGAGGAATGACCATGTAAAGACACAGGGAAAACACATCTACAAGCCAAGGAAAGAAGCCTCAGAAGAAATGTGCACTGCCAACACCAAGATCTTGGACTTCCAGCCTCTGGAACTGTGGCACAATAATTTTTCTGTTCTTTACGTCACCCAGTGTGTGGTACTTTGTTATGGCAGCCCTAGCAAATTAAAACAAACATATTACCCTGCCTAGTATCTGGACATGAAATTTTTTCAAGATTATGAATTATCAGGGATTTCTAAGAAATGAGTGAATCAATTGAAAATTGACAAGTGTAGATGATAAAGGGTCATTTACAAACCACTTTGGGTCCCATGGTCACCACTCAAAAATGGAGATATCCCCATTTCTTTTCAGTTTTACTCAGAACAAAGCTTGTGGTTCCAATCTGATATATAATCACCATCTGTATTTAAGTTTCTTGAGATGTTGAAGGAATGAGTTTTCCTCTAATTTTCTAGAAGTTATGAGAAATAATTATTTTGTAATCATTACTGAAGTAAAAGAGGATTTTTACCCAGGGCTTTGCAGGTATTATGTGCTTTCTTCCTACTTTTAAGGATGTTTCTTAAAATCCCGAGCTGATGGTCAGGCACGGTGGCTCACACCTGTAATCCTAGCACTTTGGGAGGCTGAGGCGGGTGGATCACCTGAGATCAGGAGTTGAAGACCAGTCTGGCCAAAATGGTGAAACCCTAACTCTACTAAAAATACAAAAAAATTAGCCGGGCATAGTGGCACAAGCCTATAGTTCCAGCTACTTGGGAGGCTGAGGTAGGTGAATTGCTTGAACACGGGGGGAGAGGTTGCAGTAAGCAGAGATCATGCAATTGCATTCCAGCCTGGGCAACAAGAGTGAAACTCCATCTCAAAAAAAAAAAATCCTAAACTAATGTTTCTCTCTGCATTTACCCCTTAGTACTGGGGCAACACTCACTGCATCTCAGTAAGGATGAAATGTGTTTTCATTTATTCTCACTAGAATGGATGTGTTTATCCATGACTCACAGATGAATTAACAAGCACCAGGACTTGGAGAGATTCTCCTGAGGTCACAGCCGTTGAGTGGTGGAGCAGTGACAAGCACCTGGCACCCTTGGTCTAGTCCAGTATTCTGGGTGCCACAAGAATTGCAGAATTGCAATCTTGATTTTTACACATTCGGTTATTTTCTCTTTTTTTATTTCCTTTTTTGTTGTTGTTGTTGTTGTTGTTGTCGAGACAGGGTCTCACTCTATCACAGGCTGGAGTGCAGTGGCACAATCTCAGCTGGCTGCAACCTCCACCTTCCGAGTTCAAGTGATCCTCATGCCTCAGCCTCCTGAGTAGCTGGGATTACAGGTGCATGCCACCACATCTGGCTAATTTTTGCATTTTTGGTAGAGATGGAGTTTCATCATGTTTGCCAGGCTGGTCTCGAACTCCTGACCTCAGGTGCTCCTCCCACCTCAGCCTCCCGAAGTGCTGGGATTACAGGTGTGAGCCACCACGCCTGGCCATTTGGTTATTTTCTTAACCAGAGAAGGAAAATGCATGGTGAAAATAAAGTGCAAGAGCCCTAGGCCCTTGCCTTAGATTTACTGGGATGGGGGATGGAGAGAGAGAGGCTGCCACTGTTTCTCTGAATTCCAGCTCCCAGTGTTGGTCACTCAACTGAGAGCAGGAAAATTCACCTTGTGCACTTGGGGCATCAGGACAAAGATGACAGGGAGTCCCACATCTACCACGAAAGAGAAAAGGGTCCCTCCTGCCTTATGAATCATGTCCCAGTTTTCTAATTGCATGTGCTTTCCTGCACACATAATGATTTCTCCTTCCTTCAAGCACCAGTTGTCACAGGGCAAATACAGCAACAGCAGAAAGGAATTGCTACTGAGCCTGATGCTCTGATGAAAGCTCTGAGTGGAGACTTTATTTCACATGTAGGTGCCTCTGAGTCAATGCAGAGTTTTGCCTGACTCCACTCTAGCTCCAATTCGATCAAGGTCTATATGCTCTGGGACCTCTCCAGTTCCTCATCAGACATGACAAAGAATGCCACATGTCCAGCTCCTGGGGTGCCTGATGGCAGTGAGAGGCAGCTCCTAATTGGGAGAGAGCTTTGGGGTTACCAAGGCCTCATAGACTTCATTACTGTTGGGCCACGTGGCTTCAGTCCCGTGACCACAATGGGTTCATGAGCCTGGATTCACCTCTGACATTCGTGTCTTTTTTTCTTGGGCTTCCACAAGTGGCCTCTGGTTGAGATGGGGGGAAAGGAAACAGGGATTCAAAATCTCTGACTGCCCAGTGGCCTCCCCTCACTTCCACTCAGAGACAACATGGCCATTTCGCTAAATTCCTGAAGACGCGGCCAATATAAGTAACAGAACACAGAGAGTTGCCTTGAACAGAGTTCCATGGAAGGGTGGCTGGTGCCCTCTAGACTCTTTGTCTACACTTGCTGGGCTTTCTTTAGCATGAAATGTCCCAGAGACAGCCACATTCTAAGCTTGGATCCTCAAAGCAAAGGGTGTGAGGGCCTTATCCCTGGCCAAATGAGCACTGAATTTGAGAGAGACCAGGAAACCTTCTAATTATTGGGACACTTTACTCCTGAATCCTGAATCCTGGAAGTTGGTTTCTGGCCAGGGAGGCAGGTGTCTTTATATCTTGTCTGTCTCTGTGAGGCCTCTTGTCCCTCTGCCCTTCCCATCTTTCTAGCCCCGTTAATCCCAGAACAGATAGAAACATTCTGCCTTCTTTGATGCCTCTTGCTATAAACTTCAATGGCTTTTGATTGAATTAATAAGTGAAATCAACTTTAATAAAACATGAGGTTTAAAGAATGGCATTTGACATGGGTTTAGAATGAATAAATGGATCAAGTAATGAATTTTGAGAAAATGCATGTAAAATTTATCTTTAATTCCCAATGCCATTTTATTAACTTGACTGTGGAATTAATAAATGATTCTAAATCAATACCAAAACGTGCAATCACAAATGTGTGAATGCACAGAAGTGTGAATGAAGGGCAGTGCACACAAGAAAAAAAGATGTGCACATGAAGAACTTCTTCATTCCAGGTTTTTACTGATCCCTCTGGTCAAGATGGGATAAGAGTCCAAAAATATGCTTTCCTCACATGGTCAAATGATTCAGCATAAAATACAACTGATTGAACACAATTATCTATGCTTTAAATATATTAGAAAAAATCCATAAGGAAAAATGATCCTACCATCACTAAGATTTTAATTTATAATAAAATAAAGCCTAGAAATGTATCTTTTGTTCCCAATTCCAATGATTATAGGATTTCAGTGTTTGGCTTTGATAAGACCATTTAAAACAACTCAGGGAAGTTTTCTTAACAAACTCTATAGCAGGACCACAGCTAAACCTATGAGCATTAGTAGAAGTAAACAATGACACTGCCTTTAAAATTTCACTTTGAAAAACATGTTTGAAAGTGGTTGACTGGCTCCTAATTTAACTATCATTCGAGGTCATATGTTAGATTGGCAAAGTTGTTGTAATTTGTATGTATTTTATTTTTGTAATGCAAGTGCTTCACTCTACTATCAGATAAAATAAAATGTTAAGCTGGACATGGTGGTGCACACCTGCAGTCCCAGCTACTCAGGAGGCTGAGTGGGAGGATCCCTTAAGCCCAGGAGTTCAAGGCTGCAGGAAGCTCTGATGGTGCCACTGCATACCAGCCTGGGCAACAGAGTGAGGCCCTGAGTCTAAAAAATAAATTAATTAATTAAATGTTAACTTCAAATCTTATTGTTAGCAGTTCAACCTTGAACAGATTATTGGAGTTTTTTTTTTTTGTTTTTTTTTTTTTAAGACAAAGTCTCACTCTGCCGCCAGGCTGGAGTGCAATGGCATGATCTCGGCTCACTGCAACCTCGCCTCCTGGGTTCAAGCGATTCTCCTGCCTCAGTCTCCTGAGTAGCTGGGACTACAGGCACCTGTCACCATGCCTGGCTAATTTTTGTATTTTTAGTAGAGACGGGGTTTCACCATGCTGGCCAGGCTGGTCTCGAACTCCCGACCCCAGGTGATATGGGCCTCCCAAAGTGCTGGGATTACAAGCATGAGCCACCATGTCTGGCCTTGAGATCTTATCTGAGAGAAGCTGTTGTGAAAACTTAGAGAATATGAACAAGAAGTAAATGTCAATCTTGTTTCTAAATTACAAACTAAAAGGAAATTCTATAAACCTTTAATACTAAGCTAAATCATGGTAGAATGAATGACCAAAAACTATCCTACAAAACATACCAGCTGCTAGGTGTATCTGAATACTAATAAAAGATGAATGGAAAAAATGCTCTAGGAATGAGGTCAAGAGTTCGAGACCAGCCTGGCCAACATGGTGAAACCCCGTCTCTACTAAAAATTCAAAAATTAGCCAGGCATGGTGGTGGGCACCTGTAATCCCAGCTACTCGGGAGGCTGAGGCAAGAGAACCACTTAAACCTGGGAGGCAGAGGTTGCAGTGAGCCAAGATCGCACCACTGCACTCCAGACGCGGCAACAGAGTGAGAACCTGTCTCAAAAACAAAAAACAAGGAAGGAAGGAAGGAGGAAAGAAAGAAAGAAAGAAAGAAAGAAAGAAAGAAAGAAAGAAAGAAAGAAAGAAAGAAATTATATTTAGAATAAAATTCTTACCTTATAGCAAAATTTCTTATTGAAAAACCACTTTATTTCACATACAAATGAGAATTCAGCATTTTTCTATACCCAGAGATAACAGAGATAAACAGGGGTTTTTTGTGGGGTTCAGATATTTTATTAGCTGCTGAGTGTAAGAAAATCTACTACTGAAGAAGCTGAAATCCCATTTTTCTTTGAAATGGGATCTTTCCAAAGTTAGTAACAATGAAGTTGTCATTCACATAATGGATGACTGAACAAAAAGATAGTGATAGTAGATGCTGCATATTGTTTCTGTAATGTTGGGAACGGGCCCCCCAAAATATGGCCATAAACTGGCCCCAAAACTGGCCATAAACAAAATCTCTGCAGCACTGTGACATGTTCGTGATGGCCATGATGCCCACACTGGAAGGTTGTGGGTTTACCGGAATGGGGGCAAGGAACACCTGGCCCACCCAGAGTGGAAAACCACTTAAAGGTGTTCTTAAACCACAAACAGTAGCGTGAGCAATCTGTGCCTTAAGGACATGCTCCTGCTGCAGATAACTAGCCAGAGCCCATCCCTTCATTTCAGCCCATCCCTTTGTTTCCTGTAAGGAATACTTTTAGTTAATCTATAATCTATAGAAACAATGCTTATCACTGGCTTGCTGTCAATAAATACATGGGTAAATCTCTGTTCAAGGCTCTTGGCTCTGAAGGCTGTGAAACCCCTGATTTCCCACTCCACACCTCTATATTTCTGTGTGTGTATCTTTAATTCCTCTAGCTCTGCTGGGTTAGGGTCTCCCCCACCAAGCTGGTCTCAGTAAGCAGCACCCATACGTGGGGGCTCGAATCCAGGTTGAAGGGTCGCCAGAGCAACAGTTGGAGAATGGGGAACTAAGCTGGAGGACACCCAAGTACTCTTAAGCAATCCTCGTAGTGAGTAAGATGGGGAGCTTGGAAGCATCGGGTAACAATGGGACAAGTGTGGGCTCTGGTTCGTTCCACCTTGGAACTTTTTCACACTGATGATGAGGAGGAAGGAGAGTATGACGAAGTAACAGAAGAGGTTACAGAGCAGGTTTATTTGCCAGCTAAAGCTAAAGCGGCACAGGAGGAAGAGGTTCATCCCTACCCTTCTGCACCCCCTCATTATTATTTTGAAGAAAAAGAGTGGCCAGACCCTCCAGATCTTTCTTTTCTGGAGGACACTGGGCGAAAAGTAGTTGCCCCAGTGACTGAGCAGCACCTCGAGCGACTGCTGTCAGTTCTATTCAGGCAGGAGTTCAGCAGGCTAGACGAGAGGGTGATATAGAGGCTTGGCAGTTCCCTGTTAGAATACACCACCTGATCAACAGGGAAATATTATAGCTACATTTGAGCCTTTTCCTTTTAAATTACTCAAATAATTTAAACAAGCTATTAATCAGTATGGACCAGGTTCTCCTTTTGTAATGGGACTGTTAAAGAATGTTGCTGTTTCCAGTCGGATGATTCCTACTGACGGGGACACTCTTATTTGAGCTTGTCTAAGTCCTGCTCAATTCTTACAATTTAAAACTTGGTGGGCAGATGAAGCTTCCATTCAGGCTGCTTGCAATGCCCAGGCCCAAACTCAAATTAATATAACATGGACCAACTTTTGGGGGTCGGCTGCTGGGCTGGTTTAGACGCACAAGTGGTCATACAGGATGATGCCATAGAGCAGCTTAGAGGAGTGTGCATTAGAGCTTGGGAAAAAATCACTTCAGGTGGAGAACAATACCCTTCCTTTAGTGCTGTAAAACAGGGACCAAAAGAACTGTATGCAGATTTTATAGCTTGGAATCTCTTAAGACAGGAGTCTCTTAAAAAGGTGATTTCAGATTCAGCTGCTCAGGATATAGTGTTGCAGTTATTAGCTTTTGGCAATGTTAATCTCGATTGCCAGGCTGCTTTGCGACCTATTAGAGGGAAAGCACATTTAGTTGATTATATCAAGGCCTGTGACGGTATCGGAGGTAATCTGCATAAAGCTACTTTGTTGGCACAGGCAATGGCAGGACTGAGAGTGGATAAAGGAAATACTCCATTTCCTGGAGCTTGTTTTAACTGTTTGAAGCATGATCACACTAAAAAACAATGTAGAAAAAATCAGCAAGTCAGGCCACCATATAGGGGAAAAAAAGAAAACTACTGAGCCTGAAATATGTCCAAAATGCAAAAAAGGAAAACATTGGGCTAATCAGTGTCACTCTAAGTTTGATAAAGATGGGAACCTGATTTCAGGAAACACCATGAGGGGCCCATCCCGGGGCCCCATTCCAAACCGGGGCATTTCTGGCTCAGGCCATTCCCTCATCCTTGTACAATATCTGTCCCCCGCCACAGCCAGTAGCACCAGAGTAGATTTATGTTGCACAAAAGCTGTGAGCCTTCTGCCTGGGGAAACCCTGCAAAAGGTCCCAACAGGGGTCTGTGGACCCTTGCCAGCGGGAACGATAGGATTATTTCTAGGAAGGTCTAGTTTAAGTTTAAAAGTAGTACAAATACATACAGGGGTCATTGATTCAGATTACAATGGGGAAATTCAAATTGTTATATCTACTTCTGTTCCCTGGAAAGCAGAGCCAGGAGAGTGTATAGCACAGCTCCTGATTGTGCCGTATGTGGGAATGGGAAAAGTGAAATTAAACAAACAGGAGGATTTGGAAGCACAAATAAACAAGGCAAAGCAGCTTATTGGGTGAATCAAATTACTGATAAACGTCCTACCTGTGAAATAACTATTCAGGGAAAGAAATGTAAAGATTTGGTAGATACAGGAGCGGACATTTCAATCATTTCTCTACAGCACTGGCCGTCTGCGTGGCCAGTTCAACACACTCAACTTAAAACAGTTGGAGTTGGTAAAGCCCCTGAAGTATATCAAAGCCATTATATTTTGCATTGTGAAGGGCCCGATGGACAACCTGGGACTATTCAACCAATTATAACTTTCGTACCTATAAATTTATGGGGGAGAGATTTATTACAACAATGGGGAGCACAAGTTCTACTTCCAGAGCAATTATATAGCCCTCAAAGTCAACATATGATGCATGAAATGGGGCATGTCCCTGGTATGGGACTAGGAAAAAATTTGCAAGGTTTGAAAAAAAATGCTTCAAGTGGAGAGACAAAGTTCCCGCCAAGGTTTAGGGTATCATTTTTGATGGCAGTCATTGTTAAGCCTCCAGAACCTATACCTTTAAAATGGTTAACAGATAAGCCAATTTGGATAGAACAGTGGCTGCTAAGTAAAGAGAAACTGGAGACTTTAGAGAACTTCGTTAATGTACAATTAGAAAATGAGAACATAGCTACAACACTTTCCCCTTGGAATTCTCCAGCTTTTGTAATTAAGAAAAAATCAGGTAAATGGAGAATGTTAACTGATTTAAGAGCCATTAATTCAGTTATACAAGCTATAGGAGCATTACAGCCAGGAAGGACTCTTTCTTTACTATACCCTTAGCTAAGCAAGACAGTGAACGGTTTGCATTTACAATTCCTGTGGTAAACAATCTGCAGCCTGCTAAGCATTTTCATTATTTCACAGATGGGTCTAGCAATGGTAAAGCTTCTTATTCTGGATCAAAAGGTAAAGCTTTCCAGGCAACCTATACTTCAGCTCAGAAAGCAGAGCTTGTAGCTGTAATTGAGGTGCTGACTGCTTTTGATATGCCTGTTAATGTGATTTCTGATTCTTTATACATGGTTCATTCCATGCAATTAATTGAAAATGCTCAGTTATGATTTATACAGATGAACAACTGATGACAAAAAAGGGGGAGAAACAGGGATTACGAGACAGCCCATACACAACTGAACCTAGCATTATTAACTTTAAATTTTTTGAGGCTGCCCAAAGGCCAGATGTTATCAGCAGCTGAACAGCATCTACAGAAACGAGCTGCAAAGACAGGAGCAGAACAACTGGTTTGGTGAAGAGATCCAATAACAAAAAGTTGGGACATAGGTAAAATAATAACTTGGGTAGAGGTTATGCTTGTGTTTCTCCAGGCCAAAACCAGCAGCCAATTTGGATACTATCAAGACACCTAAAACCTTATCATGAGCCAGATGCCAAGGAAGAGATTCCAGGAGGATCCCGAGGACCCCCTGGTTGCAGCCATGTCGAGACTGATGCTGAGGAGGACCCTAACTGTCACGAGCAACACCCGTTGAACACAGCCACCCACCTGGGGACAGATCAAGAAGCTGTCACAGATGGTGGAAGAAAACCTGAGGAAAGCGGGACAACCGGTCACAATGACTGTTTACTGGAATGAAGGCTGTGAGACTCCTCATTTCCCACCCCACACGCCATATTTCTGTGTGTGTGTCTTTAATTCCTCTAGCGCCACTGGGTTAGGGTCTCCCCGACTGAGCTGGTCTTGGCACTGTAATTCTGCCTTGTCCACATGGCACTATTTACACTTTAATTAATTAAAATTAAATGGATTTTAAAAGCCAGTTTCTTATTTGCACCAGCCATATATTTCAAGTACTCAGAATTCACAGAATATGAATGTCTGTATCTGTGCCATAATGAATAGCTCAGATATAGACACTCCATCACTGCAGAAGGAGGTTGGACAGTGGTATTCCAATGTTTCATGGACAGGATCCTGAGTATAATTACGGAATAATGACAATTCCAAGTTCCCATTTCAATTCATGGTCTCTTCTCTGATTCGTGGTGTAGGGGGCAGCCCATCTCTTTTGTGAATAAAGGTTAATTTTTCCAATTACACGTAAGTAGCTAATATTATTTTTTTTTAGCAGTCTTACAGTGTAAGTTACAACCAAAAGTGAAGTGCCTGAATTATATTTACATTTTAACAAATGGTTTTAAAGGGAAAATCCATGTGAAAAAGAAACAAAAGTCAGGAAAAAAAACACACGGAAGTTTCCATACCAATCCTGATAGCAATAACAATCCCTTTGCTGTCGTGAGAGTTCACCCTCATCCTGATTTCATAGTAATCCTGTTCACGCCTTTCTTTAAAGCTTTACTCCCATGCATACATCTCTAAAACAATATAGGTTATCTCAAACTTCATATAGATTTTGAATCTTTTGATACAAATGGAATCGTGCTATGTGTATTCTTATGAGACCTTATTTTAGCTCAAATGTATGTTTGCTAAGTTGTTATAGGTGTCTCTAGAGCGTTCATGTTTATTATTCATAGAATTCCACACATTAAATTAATCCTTGTTTGTGGTCATTTTATTTGTTTTCAGGTTTTAAAAATTACGAACAATGCTGTTGTAAGCCTTCTTGCACATGTATGTTGGCACAATGAGCATATATCTTTCAAAATTATATGCCTAAGAGTGGAATTACTGGTGTATGTATATGATATCCTACCCAAAGAGATGATGCCACACTGCTAGACAAAGTGTGTGACAGCTCTTGATGGTCCATATTCGCACCAACATTTGAAATAGTCAGTGATTTTAATTTAGAAATTCTAGTGGATTTGTCATGACATATCATTATATTTCTTTCCTTAAACTTTATTAAGATATAATTCACATATCATTCACCCATTTAAAGTATACAATTCAATGGTTTTTCACATATTTGGATTTTTAAATCACCATATCTAATTTTAGAACATTTTCATCATCCCAAACTGTTCTCCACAGTTTGAGAGCTGCCTTCTGCAGACCAGCAAGACACAGATTGTTCTCAGCTCCCCTTGTCTCTGGACCCTGACTTCTCTTCCCCCAGCTGCACAGCTGATAAACTGTGTCTCCTCCCAAGCATAGCCCAGGAAGGATACAGGGAGAGGGGCCCATTCCCCTGATGTCCCAGAACCCCTTCCACATAATCCCAATATCCAGGCCCGGTGTCCCCTTCCCTGGATCAACCTTCTTTTTCTGGGAATGAAAGAGTTGCAGTGTTTCCCTCCCAGATCTCCCCTGTGACTCACTCACTCTAAATAGATATCTTGCTCTATGAGTTATTATTCTCATATCCTTTCTTTGAAGCTGTGATAAGATATTACAAACTATTAAGAGAACATGGAGGCTAGGCGTGGTGGCTCACGCCTGTAATCCCAGCACTTTGGGAAGCCAAGACAGGCAGATCACCTGAGGTCAGGAATTCGAGACCAGCCTGGCTAACATGGTGAAAACCCCATCTCTAAAAATACACAAATTAGCTGGGTGTGGTGGCAGCTGCCTGTAATCCCAGCTACTCGGGATGCTGAGGCAAGAGAATTGCTTGAACCAGGAGGTGGAGGTTGCAGTGAGCCGAAATCACGCCATTGCACTCCAGCCTGGCAACAAGAGATAAACTCTGTCTCAAAAAAAAAAAAAAAAAGAAAAGAAAGAGAGAGAGAGAACATGCAGGTTAGGTTCTCTTTTTGGATTCTGAGGACCTGCTGTGCTGGGGCAGAGGCAGGTGGGGAGAGAAGGACAGGTGGAGGGGCAGGTGCTGCGTGGTGTGCACCCTTGCTCCGTGCTCAATAAAGTTCCTGCTGTGGTCATTTCTTGTGTATTTGTCTGGATCCCTCCGTGTGCTGGGATTTGTGCCTGGTCTTTAGGGGCGGGTGCTGCTCCAGGTCGGAGGCCTCACACATCTCCAGGCTGAGTCTTTCTCCAAGTCCATGGAGGTCATGGGCTGAGAATGACAGTTCTCCATCCTGCCCTCAGCTCCACTTTGTGTGTGTGTATTTTTACATGTTGATCTCACCCCTCTCGTCAGAGATTTACAGGAATAGTACTCTGTAGGAGAGCCATTATCATCCTGCTCCGGCCAGGCTCTGTCTCTCACTTTTGGGTCGTGTGTTCTGTTTCTTGTCCTCTAAAGACTCAGGGCAGCCTCTGCACTTGGGGCTTCTCAGATGCCCCAGATTGATTGTTTTCACCTTTGCCTTCCTTCCTGCTCTGTTTCCAGAATACTCTTATTTTTCCCTTTTATTGTAGTAAGTCAATTTTTTGAATTAACATCATGAATAGATGTGTTAGTGCAATGTCTTAAATACATTCTTGTCACTTCTCCGTTTGTGGGAGCACCCTGTGGTCAGTCAGGGACCTGGCAGGAAAGAGATGGCACCTTTTTTTTTTTTCCGAGACTGAGTTTCACTCTTGTTGCCCAGGCTGGAGTGCAATGGTGTGATCTCGGCTCACCACAACCTCTGCCTCCTGGGTTCAAGCAATTCTCCTGCCTCAGCCTCCCGAGTAGCTGGGATTACAGGCATGCGCCACCACGCCCAGCTAATTTTTTATTTTTAGTAGAGACAGGGTTTCTCCATGTTGGTCAGGCTGGTCTTGAACTCCCAACCTCAGGTGATCCTCTGGCCTCAGCCTCTCAAGGTGCTGAGATTACACGTTTGAGCCACCGCGCTGGCCTGAGATGGCACCTTCTACACAGGTGCCGGCAGGGCTAAGAAAGCCACAAAGGGCGCTGAAGCTCCCTGGGATTATTCCTGGCAGGAAACTGTTTTCATCTTGAAGCTTGAAAGAGCAACGAAGGGAGCAGTTTCCAGAACCCAAGGAAATCTGTAGCTTTCACTAGGGGCAGACCCACATGCCTGTGGCTGTAGGTAGAGGACGGCAATGATTACGGAACCACAGAGCTGTCCAGAGGGAGTGAGGGAAATGAAAACCCTGAGTTACTTCTCCCCGCATGCTCCCATCTCCTGCAGGTGCCTGTTATCATCCACACCCAAGCAGAAGCCAGGTGGTGCAGGAGCATGGGCCGTGCCTGTTGTGGTTGCCTCCCAGTGCAGGGGACAAGGTGGAGGAGGGTGAACGACGGCCCTGTGGGGAGAGAGAAGCAGAGAATAATGCACTCACCTGCTTACAGTGTCCACATTCCTCAGGGAATTCACTTAAATATCCTAGAGTTTGCCCTAATCCAAAGGCATGGCTTCAAAAAAAAAAATACATGTAATTTATTCATTCTGAGGCAGAAATTTAAAAATAATAATAATAATAATAAGTATTGCATTTACTTACTTTAAGAAAAGTTAAAGCTAAGGCTTAGAATGTGGCAAGGCAAAAGTTAAAAAGAAAAAGAAAAGAACAAGTTTTTTTCTGCTTAGCAAGCTTACCTCAAGGACAGTTTTATACATATATTTTTTTTTAGATGGTGTCTCGCTTTGTCACCCAGGCTGGAGTGCCATGACACAATCTCGGCTCACTGCAAGCTCCGCCTCCCAGGTTCACGCCATTCTCCCGCCTCAGCCTCCCGAGTAGCTGGGACTATAGGCACCCACCACCACACCTGGGTAATTTTTTGTATTTTTAGTAGAGACAGGGTTTCACCATGTTAGCCAGGATGGTCTCGATCTCCTGACCTCGTGATCTGCCCACCTCGGCCTCCCAAAGTGCTGGGATTACAGATGTGAGCCACCGTGCCCAACCCAAGGACAGTTATAAGATAACACTGTCTGAATAGCTAGGGCTAAAAAAATAGGCCTTGGACACTTCTTTTTTCTAGAGCAAAGTTGAAGGAAAAAAAGAGAAAAAAAATTATTTTACTGTAGAATGCATGAACCAGACACTCAAGCAGCTACTGAAGAAATATTGCCAAGAAACTCATCTGAGACAGAATCAAGTCTTGCCTATAGTCCTCCTCTGAGCCAAGCGCACCCCCACCAAACAAACTAAGTATTTACCCTATAAGATTTTGTTCAATCAGCCACCGTCAAATTAAAAGTGATCTCCAAGAACTAAAAGAACTAACCTTAAGAAATCAAATGCAGGCTTTAGAAACAGCCATGCAAAGTGTTCATAGTTAAGTACATAAAAGAATGCCTAGAAGTCTAACAGACCCAGTAAACCCTTTAAACCTAGTAGCTTTGTTTAAGTTAAAAAGTAGAACCCAACTTCTCTAAGACCCATGTAAGATAAGCCCCACAGAGTAATCTTGTCCACTCCCACTGCTGTTAAAGTTGCAAGAATCGTGCCTTAACTCCATCACAGTCAGCTAAAATCGGCAGCTCAGGACAAGTGAACCAGCCAGCAACACCCAGATCATCCAACCCGGCTGATCCTGAGACAAGACCAAGCTGCTGCTGAAGACGACAGCCCTGCTCTGGTCACTCCGGAGGCTGACCAGTCTACGCACAGCTGAAGTTTGAAGAAACAACAAGCCTTGCTCTAGTCACACACCGGAAGCTGACTAGTCTATGCACGGCTGAAGCTTAAAGACTCATCAAGCAAGTAAATGTAGTTAGAAATCTTAAGACTAGTAGTTTTCCTGTAATACTAACTGTTTTCCTATTGTTCTGTCACTGTGCTCAACCTCCTCCCCCAAATAAAGACCTCTTTTGTCCTTGCTAGATTTAAATATGCTGTACATTGTTTTGATGTTGTTACCCCCTTAACCATACTAGAAGAAACACTGACAGAAAAGTGTCCCCACTGTACACATACTACGTAGTCAAAGAACAGTATAACTAGAACTCTGTTGTACCATACTTATAAGTGTACAAAGACTCGCTTAAGAACTTGTACTTATAAGGCCGGGCGCGGTGGCTCACGCCTGTAATCCCAGCACTTTGGGAGGCCGAGGCGGGTGGATCACAAGGTCAGGAGATCGAGACCATCCTGGCTAACACGGTGAAACCCCATCTCTACTAAAAATAAAAAAAAAAAATTAGCCGGGCGTGGTGGTGGGCTCCTATAGTCCCAGCTACTCGGGAGGCTGAGGCAGGAGAATGGCGTGAACCCGGGAGGCGGAGCTTGCAGTGAGCCAAGATTGCGCCACTGCACTCCAGCCTTGGAGACAGAGCGAGACTCCGTCTCAAAAAAAAAAAAAGAACTTGTACTTATAATCAGACCACCTGTTCAATTTGTGACCCAAGAAATGGCCAGCCTTATATATGCTATGACCGAAGTCTTTACCTAGGACTTAGTTTAAGATTCATACAAGTAAAAAAAAAAAAAGAAGTCTTGTAAGTCAAACCCAAGCCTCTCCTTCCCAGGGTGGGGGCTATATCCATATACTTTGATATTTGTCAGTTAACATCCATGAACCCAACCTATCTCACAATCTCTAGTCCTACAAAGTACTATAAAAACTGCCAGTATAAAATTGTATGTACACTCCCTGTTTGTCCCTCCAAGGCCCTAGCAATAGCTTGCTGGAACTGCACAATGCAGTTCACTGACCGATCATCACTGAGGCCAAAGCCAATCTTGCTCATCAAAGTACCAGCAAAACCAGATAGTAAGACAAGCATTTGCAATCCTGTAAATCTTACTATCTTAAGGCCAAATCTACCTGTATGGACTATAGGCTACTCCATGGCATTACAAAGCTACGGTCAAAAAGCTAAAACAACTTTGTATATTATAAAGAAGACTTGAACCAAGCAGTCAGCCCAGGAGCAATTCTGAGTCTTTAAGTCATTCTTTGAGCATATAAACCAGAAGTTACCAGAGCCTCCTCCTTTAGCCAAAAACCTATTTGTTCAGCTGGCTGAAAACATTGCTGCCAGCCTAGGCGTTTCCTCATGTTATGTTTGTAGAAAGACTAGCATAAAAGACCAATGGCCTTAAGAAGCAAAAAAGTTAATGCCTCAAGATAACTTTACTCCAACTGACTCTTTCCCCAAACCGATGCCCACAAGTTCAAGCGTCTGGCTCTTAAAAACTTCTATATCGAGGCCGGGTGCAATGGATCATGCCTGTAATCCCAGCACTTTGGGAGGCCGAGGCAGGCGGATCGCCAGGTCAGGAGATCGAGACCATTCTAACACAGTGAAACCCTGTCTCTACTAAAAATACAAAAAATTAGCCGGGTGTGGTGGCGGGTGCCTGTAGTCCCAGCTACTCAGGAGGCTGAGGCAGGAGAATGGCGTGAACCCAGGAGGCGGAGCTTGCAGTGAGCCAAGATTGCGCCACTGCACTCCAGCCTTGGAGACAGAGCGAGACTCCGTCTCAAAAAAAAAAAGAAAGAAAGAGATTCCATCTGCATGTATACATTCAGCCAGGACACAGTGGCCAGGGGTCTTAAACACCACCCAAGAGCCTTCAGACAGTCAAGTTCCTCTTTCTTCTCAGGGTTCAGCCTGAGCACTGGGGTGACCAAACACACTGTGCAAAGGGCAGGAACCTCTTCAATGCCAGCTTATGAATCTGTCCCCTCCAGTGGTGGGAAATCGCACCTCAATCCACAATCCACTATTTCTTCCTGCCCTTACCTCCTCACACCCGTCTGGAATTTAGGAGAATGTGGAGAGCAGCCAGCAGCAATAGCAGCAGCTGAGGCCTAAGGAAAACTGAACAGGAAGCCAAGGAAACACATCAGGTGACTAAAATTGTTTGCTGTTCTGCACATGTCCAGGAATGACCCCAAAAGATTTTCAATGACCAGTTCTATGGTTACCAACCTACCGGGCCACGTCATAGACATCAAGTGGATGAGCATTGCCTTTATCAATGACAGGTGAGCCCCACACCCAGAAGGACACCTACTCTCCCATTCCTTATGTTTTCTATCTTTTCACACCTTACATCCTCTTCCCTCCCTCTGGGTGTCTTCCCTCTTTGGGTCTTCTGTTTCTACCCTCTGCCTCCTTTCAGGTGACTAGAGCAGGCTGGTTTGGAACAGGGCTTGGCC